>NT_167245.2:3767029-4067029 GCF_000001405.40 Homo sapiens | reverse complement strand
GGTAGATACAAGGAAAATATTCAGAAATGTACTACCAATAGAACACTTTAATTCCCTTTCCCTGGACTAGACCAGTTAAGTGGACAAAAAAATAGGCTGGGCCTGGTGATTCATGCCTGTAATCTCAGCACTTTGGTAGGCCAAGGCGGGCGGATCACCTGAGGTCAGGATTTCGAGGGCAGCCTGGCCAACATGGTGAAACCCTGTCTCTACCAAAAATACAAAAATTAGCTGGGTGTGGTGGTGGGCGCCTGTAATCCCAGCTACTTGGGAGGCCGAGGCAGGAGAATTGCTTGAATCTGGGAGGCAAAGGTTGTAGCGAGCCAAGATCGCACCACTGCACTCCAGCCTGGGCGGCACAGTGAGACTCTGCCTCAAAAAAAAAAAAAAAAAAGTATGAACACAGAAGATAGAAGATATTACTATCAATAAAAAAATAGATATGCTACATCTATATCAAACTTTTAAAATTGAAAATAGAGGCCGGGTGCAGTGGCTCACACCTATAATCCCAGCACTTTGGGAGGCCTAAGCAGTCGGATTGCTTGAACTCAGGAGCTCAAGACCAGTGTGGGCAACAGCGAAAACCCGTCTCTACAAAAAATACAAAAATTAGCCAGATGTGGTGGCTCGTGCCTGTGGTTTCAACTACTTGGCTGAGGTGGGAGGATCGCTTGGGCCCAGTTCAAGGCTGCAGTGAGCTATGATTGTGCCACTGCACTCCAGCCTGGGCAACAGAGTGAGGCCTTGTCTCTAAAACAAACAAACAAACAAACAAAAATTAAATGGCTCAATGGCATAGAAGAAAATTTTTTTATGAAGCAAGTATAATATTGATGTTAAACTATGACAATGCACAAATATAAAAATTGTAGATGAATTTACTTATTATACTGACACAAAAATCCTAAATAAAACATTCCAAACAGATTCTAGCACAGATTAAAAAACACCCATTAAGATCAAGGGGTTTTTTTTGTTTTTTTTTTCTAGAAAACCCTTTGGAAGTTCATGATATTTTGAATTTCAATGGATATTTCCTGGGAATAATGAGTTCAAATGAACGAATATGTGGAACAAAGCATCACCAACATTTATTTTTTCAGGATGAGGTGATGGACAAAACCATCACAGGGAAATTGAGGCAAATAGTACATGTAAAACAATACTTCGGGTGAGTCCACCTATCCCAAAGTCGTATCAAAGAAGTGGCTGCAGATTGGAGCCCAAAGCCTTTGGTTCCTCAGTTTCCAAATGGATTCTCACTAGGTGGGATCATGAGTTTGCTTTGGACACCCCAAATTCTAACTATTTCTTTTGTTTCTTACATCCTTTCCCTCTTCCCCAGCCCCTTCCCCTCATGTTACACCTCTTGCTGGTTTGAGACGTCAATCACCACTGAGAAAGAATTAAACCAGTATTTTGAGCTGGCAAAATTCTTAGCCTAGTACAATTCCTTCAATTAAACTGTAGCTCAACAATGTGTTCTCTAAAAGTATGATTTAATATTCTACCTAGAAACTCAGAATATTTTTCATAACTCCTCCAGGGCAGTGTGGATTATGTTGATGTGTTAGGAGGAAGTAGAAGGAAGAAAATGAATTGAGACGTACGTTTTACTTCCATGTCAAAGTCACCAAAATAGCAGTTGAAGGGATATTTGTGTCAGGCAATAGGGAGAATAATAATTTTATGCCACCCTCAAAAAACAACCACACATACACCCAAATTCTCTCACTCCTCAGAGAAAGGGGAAGGAAAGAAAAGAGAGAAGCAAAATATGAGCTTGAGTGAAAAATCACAGAGGAGCCTGTAGCTATTTAGGGAGGGCTGCTGGCTGAAGTCAGGCAGGAAAAAAAGATCAAAACACCCTGCCCTATTTTTCAGGCTCGTTCAAGTAGAAGACAAAAACATAAATACAGGAGAAAGGAAGAAAACCACATCTTTTTCCTCTTGTCTCCCCAGAACTGAACAGTGTCTCTGATAAGCCCAGGCCCTTCTATCGTAGACACTGACACTATGCACAGAAAATGACTCAAAAACGCTTCTAATGGGGGTGAATCTGATGCTTCAGTTTATTTAAGATGTACCAGAGGCCATCTAAGGAGATCCATAGCTTGCTAACTGAAGCTTATTGCTTTCTCTTCTTAGTTCCCATGCCAGGCTCTATGCCATTCCTTGCTTGTCATGTGAGATCACTGATTTCCTTTGGTTAGGTAGGATATGATTTCCTTACAGAGATCTGTCCTGACACCAAACAGCTATGATGAAATTCCTTGGTTATTTTCCCTTTTTGTGTACCTTATCATTACCGGAATGCTAAAGCTGTAGGAATAAAGTTTCCCTGGCTTCCCAAGAAATACAGTGTGACAGAAACAGTACAGCCTAGGGACTTACTAGTTATGTGAACTTTGGTTCATTCCATCCTTACCTCATCTGTAAAAGGGAGATCATGATAGTATCTACTGCAAAGGGTTTTGTGTGATGATTCTCTCTCTTTCTCTCTCTCTCATACACACACACGCACACATTTATATAATGCTTAGAAAATGAACTCATAATAAGCAATTGACAAACATTAGCTATTATTATGTAGGCAAGTCAGATTTTAGAGTTTGTGAGCCTTAGACACATTTACAGAGAAGAAAGAGCAGCCCTCCTAACTTTCTGGTCCAGCGCCATATCCTCCACTTCCTCCCCATCCCCACATCCCTTGCCATTTATCAACCCCCTCTCTCCTCTAAATCTAAATACAGGCCCCCGTTTGATCCATATTGTCTAGGCCCTTCCTCTCCTCTCCACATGGCCCTTCCTTCAGCTCTGAGGGAAGCTGCAGAAGCCAGCCATGGTGCTGTCTACAAAGAAGGGGACACACGCCTCTTCCACCCGCTCATGCTGTTACTGCATCTGATCATCTCCGTGCCGTGTCCTTGTTCACTTAGCCTGTGTTGAGTGTTTGTCTCCATTTCCAAATGCAATAAAACATCTGGGAAAGACTAAGGTAGGTGTGGGCAGGAAGAAGGGAGGAAGTTAGACCCAGTGGCTTGAGTGCCCTCTGATGCCTCCTTATCCTCGGCTCCACACAAGCCCTCGCCAGTGTGAGCTCCACAGCCATCCACCTGGAGGAGGAGTACTCAAAACCAGGGTCAAATGCCTTGTACTCGGGGGTCTACCAGTAAGCCTGTGGCCAGCCTTCCACTTCATGAATCGTCACATTTACATGAGAGATGTGGAGGGAGAGGGGTCAGCCTCCTAGCTCCTGTCCTGTAGCAGTTAAGTCAAGTCAGGCCAGGCTGTGGTAACCAAGCCAGTACCTTCTTTAAAGAACAGTTGTTTCTCATTCATACAGAGTGTGTTGTAGGTGTGAGTGATTCCCTGGGGCAGCTGCTCTTCATGGTGACTCAGCTAATTAGACTGCTTTTCTACTGGGATTGTGCCATCTCAACACAAGGCTGTCTTGGTTGACTTGGTAGGGGAGGAGGAGAAGAGTCATGCACGAGGAGTTAAATTCTTTGACCGGGAACCTTTTGTTCACTTTCCATTGGTGAGAACGAGTCACACAGCTCCAGGAGAGTAGGAAGTCTAGTTTCTCGTTTTCCATGGGCCTAGGAATTAGAGGATGAACACTAGCGATGTCTTCCACGTCTTGCTCTCTTTTTCTTTACCTGTTATAATCTCCCATGGAGAAGAAATTATTTTTCTGATTGGTCTGATCCAGGCCTCTAACCAAGGGCATTTACTAAGGGTCATAGAACAGTAAAAGGTTGCACAATTGCATCTCACCTCTCTTTTCTGAATCCTGCTTAATTAAAACTTTAAAAACTCACTTACAGACCACTTCTTGCTCTTCTTAGTTATCAAATATATTTTCTTCCAACTCCTTTTTGACAGATCTTGCCTTGTTCTCAGCTGACTCCCTTGCAACCATCTAAATGGAACTTCCTCATTCCCCTTTATCCCCTGCTAATCGTCCTGTCTTTATTCTTTTATCTGAAGAAGTGTACCCTTCTTCCCCCAAGCCTTATGCTCTCTATCTTAGTCCATTTGTGTTATTGTAACAAGATACACGAGATAGGGTAATTTATGAAGAACAGAAATTTATTTCTCACAGTTCTGGAAGCTAGAAGTTCAAGGTCATGGCCCTGGAAGATTTGATGCCTTGGCCATCGACTTGAAAAAAGTCACTGAAGTGAACTTGTGGTTACCATGATACCCTGGGTTCATTCTTAACATGCACAGTATAGGCAAATCAGGGCCACATTTCATGCTGAAAGATGATGTGAAATGATGAGTAAACATTGCCCTTTAAATAATAATAACATAGATGGTGAATTACAATTTGCACTTTTGGTTTTATTTGCTTAAAGATAGTGTTTTACTGTCTAGGTTTTACTGAAAGAATACTTAACTAAACACTTGAGTCAAATCATTCCAGTGTAACAGTCCTCACAAGGAGGAAGGCAGAAGGGCAAAAGTGCCAAGCTATTGCCTCCAGCCCTTCTATTTTTATTGATTGACTGATTGATTGATTGAGACAGGGCCTCGTTCTGTTACCCATGCTGGAGTACAGTGGTGCATTCATGGTTCACTGCAACTTTGAACTTCTGGGCTCAAGTAGTCTTCCCACCTCAGCCTCCAAAGTAACTAAGACCACAGGTGCATGCCACCATGTTTATTTCTTTAATTTTTTAAATTTTATTTGGACATGGGGGTCTCACTATGTTTTCCAGGCAGGTCTCTAACTCCTAGCCTCAAGCAATCTTCCTCCTCAGCCTCCCAAAGTGCTGGGATTACAGGCATGAGCCATCATCCCTGCTCTCTCTAGCCCTTTTTAAAGTCTCTAATCCCATTCAGGAGGCCTCTGCATTCATGACTTAATCACCTCCTAAAGGGCCCACCTTTTGATACTATCACATTGGTGATTAAATTGCAACACTTGAATTTTGAGTGACATTCAGACCACAGCATTTTGGAGAAAATGTCCCCTTTCTTCTCTTTTTTCTCTTCAGTTTCTCCTTTCTACAGATACCTTGCACTTCACTTGCAACCTTGTTGAAGTCTCTCCTGTCTTAAAAGTTTCTTTTCCCAAAACACCAGAACTCATTCCTTCTGTCTAACTGTAACTTTGTACTTGTTACCAACCTCTACCCATTTCTACCCCTGACTCCCCAGCCTCTGGTAACTACTAACGTACTCTTTACTTCGATGAGGTCAACTTTTTTAGATTCCACATATGAGTGAAATCACGTAATATAGTCCTTCTGTTCTTGGCTTATTTCACTTAACATAGAGCCCTCCAGGTTCACCCATGTTGTTGAAAATGACAGGATTTCATGCTTTTTTATGGCGGAATAGTATTCCATCATGTATATATGTCACATACTAATTACCCTGATTTGATCAATACACAATGTATAGGTGTGTTGGAACATCATGCTGTACCCCATAAATATGTACAATTATTACGTGTCAATTTAAAAAACCCAAGAAAAGTATTTTTTCTTAGTGTTGTTTTTTTCTAAAGTGTATCCCATTTTTTCCTTTGTTTTCACTTTCAAAATTCTTGAAAGACTGTTTTAATCTGCGGCCTTTGTTTTCTTGTTTCCAATTCATTCTTTTGAAATATGGCTTCTACCTTTAACACTCTGCTGTCCTCTTGAAGGTTATTGGTGCCCTACTAACCATAAAACACAATAATGCTCTCTTAGATTGTATCCTGGTGAGCCTTTTTGCAAAATTTTATTCTTTGAGAATTCTCTTTCCATGTTTTCTTTTCTTTTCTTTTTTTGTGGTCATTTTGGCTTATAGGAAATCGTACTCTCCAAATGTTCTCTATGTCTTCTATTTCTTCTCTGATAATCCCTTTACTAAATCTTCTTGAGGCATATGCTTCAGAATGCTTAATTTACATACTCTTAATTCCTTCTTAATTTACACACTGCCTGTCGGCAATGTCAACACCCAATAAGAAGGGAGACCTATTGGTCAGAACAGGCCAGGGAATAGAAGAATACATAATAAACAGTCTGCCTAGTTCTTCTAGGGCCCCATAATATGTCAAACATATATTTTTACTTCTTCTCCCAGCCCATTTTTAGTATACCTAAATTACTGTCAGTGATTCTGCAGGCAAACAATGGTTGAGTTGTATGACACAACTTTGTGAAAGTATCCTACCCAGTACCTGATGATGCAAAACTCTTCTATCTTGATTGGTTGTCAATCTGAGGAGTTTCCAATCCTGGGGAAGCCAGAAAAACAGCGATTTATACTCTTAATGGGTACTTTCTGACTGAATTTTATGAACTCATTCTGAAGAGGCTGACGATTTTACTGTCTCATTTTTTTCCTTTCTCCAGAATGGGTTCTGGGTGGGTCCCCTGGGTGGTGGCTCTGCTAGTGAATCTGACCCGACTGGATTCCTCCATGACTCAAGGCACAGACTCTCCAGGTAAGAACAGAGCAATTATTTTTTTCCAGTGTGTATGCAAGAATTGGCATGGGGGAGTGATGCCTTTCTTTGTAAGTCCAGGCCACAGACCAGACTGGAAGTGGCTTTTGGTTTCAAAGAACAGTGTTCTTCCCTTTGGCAGAAAGGTACGCCTTGCCTCTTTACATGGGATGGACTTCATATACCAGAGCCACCTATTCAAGGGGTAGGGAGGCAGGAAGAGGGAAACATTGTGTCTTGTTTAGGATCCTTATTGTGTGTATCAACCTCAGTCAGTGCCTGGGCGTGTTGAAGGCCTTGGCTTGGGTTCGAGCCTGCTGGGAGAAACAACCTGCAGTAGGCTGGGTCACAGAGGCAATCTGTGATTTTTTGGTCAGGACACGGAAACAAATCTCAGTTGGGGTATATGTGGACAAATGAAACTGGAAACAAAGGTTGCTCCTTCTGTCATTTATTAAGCCACTATTATATTGTCAGAATTGTACTAAACAGTTTTGAGAAGTAAGAGAAGTTGAATAGAATACATTGTCCTTGTCCTCCGGCTACCAGGTACAAGTTACTTGTAACTGTTATTTTTCTAGCACAGGTGACAGAATATGCAGCCATGAAGCAATGTGAGATGAAAGCACATATTAATGAGCAGAAACAGGATGTAATGTGCTAAGAACAGAATCCCCTTTGCATGTTAGTTTCATTAAATACAAAAGAGGAACAAACCTGGCCAGGAGAGATCATTATTCTTAGAGAATAGAAACCGCCCTGAGTTTATAATGTCCATTAAACAATACAACTGAAAAAAAAATCAGCACAGATGTTAAATGATGATGAAAAATTCAGATTTCCCCCCTGGTTTAGACTACTAGAGGAAATAGAGAAGAGTATACATGCTGAGAAATTACAGGCTGGAACTTCATCTGAAATTAGCTACTGAGTGAGGGATAAGTGGGGTTCACCCAGGAAGGTCATTCTTATGGCTCAGTTCAGAGTTGGAGGAGGCTTCTGAACTTAGAAAGGAAAGTAAATTACAACCCAACATTAATAGCAATTATCTTTCAAGTCTTGACTTAGATGCAATGTCTTCAGGACGTCCTTCCTGACTTACCTACATTATTAACTCCATTTGAATTTCCTTTTTATTGTAGTTGTTGTTCTTAAGTGCATAGGATTGGTTTAATTTTACCCAATGAGTTCACAGCACATTGTAATTATTGGCAGTAGTGCAAGACTCTCTCGTCTCTTCTCTTGCCTCCGTTCTCATTCTCTCCCCTCCCTAGAGAATCCATTCTAAACGTGTCTGGTATGTCTCTAAGTATGAGAGTGGCTTTTAGAAATATGTAGCATTATTGCTCTTTATGTGTTTTTAAAATTTAATAAATGTCATTCTCTGTTGAATCCCATTCTGTTTCTTTTCTCACTTGACACTGTGCTTTTTGAGCATACTGAGGTCAAAGGCCTCCTCTTAGATCCATGTGGTCTGACGTAATTTACCAGGCATGGGTTTTCCCAGAGGAGGGGGCTGGTTCATGGTTTTGGTTTTGGTTTTCCAGAAGATTTTGTGATTCAGGCAAAGGCTGACTGTTACTTCACCAACGGGACAGAAAAGGTGCAGTTTGTGGTCAGATTCATCTTTAACTTGGAGGAGTATGTACGTTTCGACAGTGATGTGGGGATGTTTGTGGCATTGACCAAGCTGGGGCAGCCAGATGCTGAGCAGTGGAACAGCCGGCTGGATCTCTTGGAGAGGAGCAGACAGGCCGTGGATGGGGTCTGTAGACACAACTACAGGCTGGGCGCACCCTTCACTGTGGGGAGAAAAGGTGAGCTGGAAGCTGAGGTCTGGCGGGGCTCAGGAATGTCCCCCATGTGAACCTGGCCATGGCTCTTCTTTCTTACAAGCAATTTTCTGCTTTAGGATAAATGGTTGTCTGTGTAGATGTTCTGGCCCCAGCTGTGATATATTATCCTCACAAGTCAGCCACTGTGATCTTGGTCTCAGACCCCCAAGGTTCTCAGGGACTTCGAGGGCTATTGTACCCTCAAAGAGAAGCAGTAATTATGGGAGTACCTCAGAAAGTCTAAATCCTCCTGACAGGCATTGACATACCCTGTTACTGATCTTGGGGGCTGAGACTTGCCTATACTTTGTGTTCACTTGGGTGATCTGGGAAAGAGATTAGACATAGTGATAGTCCCTAAAGAATCTCCTGTCCCAGCTTGGTGGTTTTCTTTCACGGTGTCTCATTTTTCCTCTCTTCCTAGTGCAACCAGAGGTGACAGTGTACCCAGAGAGGACCCCACTCCTGCACCAGCATAATCTGCTGCACTGCTCTGTGACAGGCTTCTATCCAGGGGATATCAAGATCAAGTGGTTCCTGAATGGGCAGGAGGAGAGAGCTGGGGTCATGTCCACTGGCCCTATCAGGAATGGAGACTGGACCTTTCAGACTGTGGTGATGCTAGAAATGACTCCTGAACTTGGACATGTCTACACCTGCCTTGTCGATCACTCCAGCCTGCTGAGCCCTATTTCTGTGGAGTGGAGTGAGAATTAGTTTCTAGTACTCTCTGGGCCTGACTCAGGACTATACTGACTCAATACAGAGCCTGTGTCACTTCTGCGTTTATCTTGGTCACAACATGAATTATTCTTTCCCTTGATCTGGGACAGTCACAGAAACCAGAGTCCTTGGGTTAGGGTGGGAGAAAACATGGCAGATATCTATCCTCATATCTTCCAAGAAATGAGGAGATCTAATCACCTCATTATGTGCTTCCAACCCTATGAACTGGTGTCCTCTAATTCTTTGGTCTTAGTATTTAGGAGGCATTCTTATGGGCTGTGAGAATCTGTAACCGATGGGTGGTAACTCCATGGGTGCCAACTTTGGTTTCGAAGAACCTTTTCTAAATTTATTTATTTTTCTCTAGCTAGCATTGGATTTGGTGTCTAGTACAGATTCTGGGATTCCAAGAAAGTGCTTTAAATATTGGGATATTTTTACTAATTTAAAGACCTGTTTCCCATAGGAGCTCAGTCTGAATATTCTTGGAGAAAGATGCTGAGTGGCATTGCAGCCTTCCTACTTGGGCTAATCTTCCTTCTGGTGGGAATCGTCATCCAGCTAAGGGCTCAGAAAGGTAATGAGCCTGTGAGGAGTGCCCTGCCACCTGTCCCAGACCTTCCCCACTCCCACCTTCCCTAACGTCAATGATCTGAGGCAAGGAAAGCTGATTGTGCCTCTCAGGGATCACCGGGATAATTTTTTTCTGAAGCTAGAAATGGGATAAGCAGAGAGAGTGCTGACCTTGCCAGCCATTTGTTCTTCCCTCGGGATAATCATATTGGGTCCTAATTGGGGCAATCCATTCTTTTCTCGATTTCTTTCCAGGATATGTGAGGACGCAGATGTCTGGTAATGAGGTAATGTCTCTTTTTCCTTGTCTTTGAGTGGCAGATCATTCTCCCGGTTCTTTGGCCAGAGGGAGATGACATGGGGGTAGGGAGGAGTAAGGTTGCTGCTGTCTGGATGGGACTGTCCCCTGAGTCTCTGGAACGGCTGTGGGGGGTGGTGAGGCTGCCTCCTGAGACCTTCATCACTGTGCCTCCAGGTCTCAAGAGCTGTTCTGCTCCCTCAGTCATGCTAAGGTCCTCACTGAAGCTTCTCTCTCTGGAGCCTGAAGTAGTGATGAGTAGTCTGGGCCCTGGGTGAGGTAAAGGACATTCATGAGGTCAATGTTCTGGGAATAACTCTCTTCCCTGATCCTTGGAGGAGCCCGAACTGATTCTGGAGCTCTGTGTTCTGAGATCATGCATCTCCCACCCATCTGCCCTTCTCCCTTCTACGTGTACATCATTAATCCCCATTGCCAAGGGCATTGTCCAGAAACTCCCCTGAGACCTTACTCCTTCCAGCCCCAAATCATTTACTTTTCTGTGGTCCAGCCCTACTCCTATAAGTCATGATCTCCAAAGCTTTCTGTCTTCCAACTGCAGTCTCCACAGTCTTCAGAAGACAAATGCTCAGGTAGTCACTGTTTCCTTTTCACTGTTTTTAAAAACCTTTTATTGTCAAATAAAATGGAGATACAAAAAATGTACATTTTAGTGAATTATTTAAGAAAAACCCCTGTAATCAAGTCAAGGAACAGGACTTTGCCAGCTCCAGCAGAAGTCTCTGTACGTCAGGCCAATCAAAGCCTCTCCTTCCCCTCGAAAGTGACCATATCCTGATTTTATTGTAACCTCTTTCATGTCTTTGTAGTCTAGTCCCCCAGGTATGTGTTCCTGGACGCCACAGCTTAGTTGTCTTTTACGTCTCTTATACTTCACTGGTTTCTCCCCCATCAGCCTTTTTTTCCCCCTTATGATTAATCTGTTGAAAAGCTCAATCCATTTGACCTGTAGAGTTTCCCACACTCTGGATTTTGCTGGCTGCATACACATGGTGCAGTGTAACACATCCTCTGCCTTCTGTGCCTCCCGCAAATTGGCATCTGGATGCAGAGGCTGGATCAGACTCTGGTTCAATCTTTTCCTTTGGAAAATCTATACGTGGTGTTGTGGCCTTTCACCATGAGAGACATAATTTCCAGCTGTTTCTTTTTGTGATGTTAGCAACCATTGATACTAATTGCTTAGGTTTGTTAATTTATTGGGGATTGCTAAATGGTGGTATTCTGTCATTTTTTCTTCATTTTATGCTTTATTAATGCTACAAAGAGACAGTTCCCTTCATTTACTAGTGAAGAGACACTTCCCTCCACTTACTAGTGGGCTACTTAGTGGTACAGTGGAAAGGCAGGATCAGTGTTTGACCCCCGTCTCTACTAAAAACACAAAAAATTAGCCTTGCGTGGTGGCGTGCGCCTGTAGTCCCAGCTACTCCGGAGGCTGAGGCAGGAGAAGCGCTTGAACCTGGGAGGCGGAGGTTACAGTGAGCCAAGATTGTGCCACTGCACTGCGGCCTGGTGACAGAGCAATACTCCATCTTAAAAAAAAAATCAGTCTTCTCTATATTACTTCTGCATCTCCTTTCTTTTACACCAAGAACTCTGGTTTTCAAGGACACAGGGACAGACACAATTAGAATGTCCATACTTATTTGCTTTTCCTGAGTTAACATAGACAGCAGTCTAAGGATAATAACACTAATACTACAACCACCAAAATGGCTACTGAAAACGGTTGAAATTCTTTTTACCTACATTCTCCCTATTACCTGTGTTCTCCCTTTTTACCTATGTTCTCCCCCGCTTTCTAGTTGAACTATGTCTATATTAGTTGATCCTGTACCATTGCATAGACTACTTACTCCCTTGTTAGTCTTAGTTCTGTGAGTAGAGATATGTTTAATGCTCACCATCATTCCTTATGTTGATATCCCTGTCATGTGGTGGTTTTCAAGGTGTGGTCCATGGATCCCTGGGGGTCCCTGGGACCCTTCAAGGGGCCTATGAAGTCAAGCTATTTTTGTACTAATACTAAGATGTTATTTGCCTTTTTCACTGTATTATTTACATAGTGGTACAGAAATCTATGGTGGTCACATGAAACTGTTAGTGCCTGAGCACAAATCAAGGTGGTGACACCAAGCTGTACAGGTAGGTCATGTTCTTCACTGCCATAAGCTTACAGTTAAAAAAAAAAAAAAAAAAAAAAAAAAAGCAAAAGCCAGTGACTTTGATGAAGCAATAAAATCATTAGTTTACTAAATTTTAAACCTCAAACACACATCTGTTTAATAGTCAGTGTAAGAACATAGGCAGCATTTCTGGTGCATACTGATGGAAAGGCAGTTGTCCTGTGGAAAAGCCATTATGTAATTGCATGAGTTGTGAGTGAAGTTAAACATTTTTTTTTTAGTGGGTCATCATTTTCCTTGAAAGAATGACTGAAAGGCACACTGTGATTATTCAGACTTGGGTATTTGGTAGAAATTTTCTCAAAAATAAACAAAATGAGCCTATCCCATCAGAGAAAATAATATTGACAGTGGAAATTGGAATTTCAAGAGAAAATTAAAATTTTGGAAAACTTACGTGTGCCGCAGCTTCTCACTACTTAAAGATGTTTCTGATGAGATTGGTGGTGATATTAACAAATATGGTTTAAAAAATATTGTTTAATAAAATATGTCAACATTTTAAAAAACTGCGTAAACCCATGAATCAATAATTTACAAATAATCAATGCATGATATTGCAAAGTCATGCATAGAGGAAAAGATCCATTTAAAGATAGACTAGTGAATTTTAACACAACAGAATATGAAAAGTTAATTTATAAGGTTTCAGATTCCACACTGCAACTAACCTTTAAGAATCTGCCATTTCTTGAGTTTTGGTGTCTTATCAAGGAAGAACAGTTACAATAGCTGAAATGGTTATTGAAACTTTCCTTCTTTTCCCAACTGTGTATAAGAGTGAGGCCAGATTCTCCTCTTGTACTTTAGCCAAAACAACATATTGTTACAGCTTGAATGTAGAAGAATATATAACCAAGCTAGCTTTATTAAGCCAGACATTAAAGAGATTTTTACAAATGTAAAATAATTCCTTTTTTTTCACTATTTTTTTGTGCTGGAGAAGACAGCTATTTTCCATAAAAGTATGTTGTTTATGTTAACATGTAATGGGTTTGTTATTGTTATTTAATAACAAATAAATTAATATAAATGTCACTTTACATAACCCATGTAAACTAAAGCTTCTTGGTGTTCTCAACAATTTTACGAATAAAAAGGGATCCTGATACCAAAAGAATTATAAGCTACTGATGTAGTCATCATGATTGTTTGAAACTATTTCTCCTAGGTGCCTCAGGAAGACTTAGGAAAGTGTCTTAGTTTGTATGAGCTGCTATAACCAACTACCAGAGACTGGATGGCTTAAAAACAGCAGAAATGTATTTTTCACAGTTCTGGAGGCTGGAGGTCTAAGATCAGTGTGTCAGCCTGGTAGGGATCTGGTGAAGGCCTGCTGGCAGCATCTTCTCACTAAGACTTCATGTGGCAGAAGGAAAGGGAGCTATCTGGAATCTCCCTTATAAGGGCCCTAATGCCATTCATAAGGGCTGCACCCTCATGACCTAATCACCTTCCAAAGGCGTCACCTCCTGGTACTGTCACCTTGGGCGTTACGATTTCATCATATGAATTTTGGGACGGCATATTCAGTCCACACCAGGAAGTTCTTGCACTTCATAGTCGAAAGTCAGTTTTGTGGCTATAAAAATCTTGGTTCCATTTTCCGCTCTTGAGTATCTTAAAAAGTTACTACATTTTCACATAACTGCTATCAAAAAGTCTGATGATAATCTAATTATTAAAAAGTCATTGCTACTTTTGCTGAGTATCCAGATGGTATTTTCTTTTTCTTTAGTATCCACAAGTTTTATTGGAATGTATTTTGGTTGGGGGGAGGGCAAGATCGCTGACTAGATGCAGCCAGGTGAAACAGTTCTCAACGAGGAACCCAGATGACTGGCGTGCTCCTAACAGATGTTCAGACAGAAGGCACCTAGAGTGGACAGAGGGAAGACACAGAAGCTGGACTGAAGTGGGAGAAAGCTGGGAGCCCTACATGGGGCTACAGCACATCCAGACTCATTCCTGTCCTCCAATGGCTCCAGGAAAATGGGTGAGTTGAACTGGCAAGGAACAACCCACTGTCACTATGACCTCTGCAACCATGGCAGGAGGAGACCCATTGACCACCATGGACACTTGAGTTGGCAGGAAGAGCTGCTTAGAGAAGCCATAGGGGCGGCAAGCCAGCGGGTGTGGAGCCTAGAGGATTCAGTGCAGGAGCATCTGCAGTGGAGCATGGCCAGGGATGGCCATTTCCCTAGGCTCAACTTACTCCCATAGGAGACATTAGCCCTAGGGAAACTGTTGGTCCCGAAATCTGTAGGGTGGTCTTGCCCATCAGATGAGTCTGGTTCTACCTGAGCAACCGTTGGTCTTCTGGCCTCTCCTGGGGCCCCGGCCTGGCCACATCTGCTTTCAAAGCAGCCTCAGGTGCCCTGTGGGCCTGCACCATAGCTTCTACACTGGCAGACCATGACTGACCAGTAAGTGGAGAGCTCCAATGAGGAGGCCCCTATGGCCAGGCACCAGCCTCCATGCTCCCTCCCCACACTGCAGCTTCCTCTGGGCCCACAGCAACTCCCCACATCATTTTGCTGGTACATGTCTGCTGGGTGGGTTTTGTTTTCCTTGCCTCACCAGCATAGGAGTGTAATTCACCCCCCACCAATTCCCTCCTGACAGCCATTGCAGACAGAGCCTTGGTGGGCACAGAGCCAGCCAGCCCCACTCCCTCCATCATCCCACCCTGTGCTAACACTGAGCAGAGAACAGCTGATCCTCCCCCACCCTGAGTGACCACTCCTGCACAGAAAAGGCACGCAGACCTGCACCTGCCAATGCCTTGCCCCTAAGCCAACACCACTTCCTGTGTGACCACACACACAGTTGCCAGCAGGGGACCCCCTTCCTTTCCTGCAGTTGCATTGCCTCTGCCACTGTGGTGGATGCCTGCAGGGAGGTGGGCACCCCGGCACCTGCTAGTACTCTGCTACAGCTTCAACTACCACTGCTGCTGGTACACTCAAACAAGGACAGATCCTCCTGTCACTGTACTATGAAACACTTTGGCTGACACCACTCATTGGAGTGTAGTGACCAGTGGTCTGGGAGCACTTCGGACTGCACCACTCCTGCCACCTCCCCCACCCCCCGCCCATCACAGCGGATTCCTAATTCTGAGGAAACAGAGAACAAAGTCAGGGTCCCATACAAGTCCCAAAGAATTACAGCATGCAGTCCAGGAGTTGGGAGTGGAATACTGGCCAAATAAAATTGTCCAGAAATGAAGTCAGTTGGCTGAATCCACCTTATACCACAATCAAACCCTCAAAGTCATCAAATAGGATAAATAGGATAAATAAAAAAGGTTGGATGATCTTTGCTGTCCAAAGGTCAGCAGTCTCAAAGATTAAAGGAAAATAAGCCCACAAAGATGAGAAAGAATCAGGCAAGAACCTTGACAACTCAAAAAGCCAGAGTGTCTTCTGTTCTCCAAACGACCACATCACCTCTCGAGCAAGGATTCTGAACTGGGCTGAGATGGCTGAAATGACAGATATGTAATTCAGAATAAGGATAGAAATGAAGATCATTGAGCTACAGAAGTACACTGAAACCCAATCCAAGGTAGCTAAAAATTATGATAAAACAATGCAGGAGCTGATAGATAAAATAGCCAGTATAGATAAGGACATAACCAATTTGATAGAGCTGAAAAACACACTATAAGAATTTCATAATGCAATCACAACTATTAATAGCAGAACTGACCCAGTGGAAAAAAGAATCTCCACACTTCAAGACTGGCTTTCTGAAATAAGATAGTCAGACAAGAATAGAGAAAAAAGAATGAAAAGGAAGGAACAAAACTTCTGAAAAATATGAGATTATGTAAACAGACCAAATCTATGACTCATTGGTGTTCCTGAGAGAGATGGGGAGAATGAAACCAACTTGGAAAACATATTTCAGGGTATCATCCATGAGAATCTCCCCAACCTAGCTGGAGAGGCCAACATTAAAATACAGGAAATGCAGAGAACCCCAGTAAGATACTTCACAAGAAGATCATTCCAAAGGCACATAATTATCAGATTCTCCAAGGTTGAAATGAAAGAAAAACAGTTGGCAGCTAGAGAGAAAGGCCAGGTCACCTACAATGAAAAGTCCATCAGACTAACAGTGGACCTGTCAGAAGAATCTCTACAAGCCAGAAGAGACTGGGGGCCAACATTTATTATTCTTAAAGAAAATAATTTCAACCCAGAATTTCATATCTGGCCAAACTAATCTTCAAAAGTGAAGGAGAAATAAGAACCTTTTCAGAGAAGGAAATGCTGAGGGAATTTCATTACCACTAGACTTGTCTTACAAGAGCTCCTGAAGGAAGCACTAAATATGGAAAGGAAAGACTTACTAGCCACTACAAAAACACACTGAAGTACACAGACCAGTGACACTATAAAGCAACCACATAAACAAGTCTGCAAAATAACCAGCTAACATCATGATGACAGGATGAAATCCACACATATCAATACTAATCTTAAATGTAAATGGGGCCGGGCACGGTGGCTCACGCCTGTAATCCCAGCACTTTGGGAGGCCGAGGCGGGCGGATCACGAGGTCAGGAGATCGAGACCATCCCGGCTAAAACGGTGAAACCCCGTCTCTACTAAAAATACAAAAAATTAGCCGGGCGTAGTGGCAGGCGCCTGTAGTCCCAGCTACTTGGGAGGCTGAGGCAGGAGAATGGCGTGAACCCGGGAGGCGGAGCTTGCAGTGAGCCGAGATCCCGCCACTGCACTCCAGCCTGGGCGACAGAGCGAGACTCCGTCTCAAAAAAAAAAAAAAAAAAAAAAAAAAAAAAGTAAATGGCTAGTGCCCCAATTAAAAGGCACAGAGTGGTAATCTGGATAAAGAACCAAGGCCTATTAGTATGCTGTCTTCAAAAGACTCATCTCACATGCAGTGACACACATAGGATCAAAATAAACAGATGGAGAAAAATCTACCAAGCAAATGGAAAACAGGAAAAAGCAGGGGTTGCAATACTAGTTTCAGACAAAACAGACTTTAAACCAACAAAGATCAAAAAAGATGAAGAAGGGCATTACATAATGGTAAATGGTTCAATTCAACAAAAGATCTAAGTATTCTAAAAATATATACCTCCAAAAGAGGAGCACCCAGATTCATAAAGCAAGTTCTTAACGACCTTCAAAGAGACTTAGACTCCCACACAATGATAGTGGGAGACTTTGACACCCCATTGACAATGTTAGACAGATCATCAAGACAGAAAATTAACAAAGATACCCAGGACCTGAACTTAGCTCTGGATCAAATGAACCTGATAGACATCTTATAGAACTTTCCACCCCAAAAAGACAGAATATACATTTTTCTCATTGTCACATGGCACATACTCTAAAATCGATCACATAATTAGAAGTAAAACACTCCTCAGCAAATGCAAAAGAACTGATCATAAGAAAAAATCTCTTGGACCACAGCACAATCAAATTAGAAACCAAGACAAAAAAGTTCACTCAAAACCGTACAATTACATGGAAATTAAATAACCTGCTCCTGAATGACTTTTGGGAAAATAATGAAATTCAGGCAGAAATCAAGAAACTTTTTGACATGAGTGAGAACAAAGATACAACACACTAGAAGCTCTGGGACACAACTAAAGCAGTGTTAAGAAGGAAATTTATAGCACTAAATGCCCACATCAAAAAGTTAGAAATATCTCAATTTAACAACCTAACATAATAACTAAAAGAACTAGAGTATCAAGAGCCAACCAATCTCAAGGCTAGCAGAAGACAAGAAATAACCAAAATCCAGAACTGAATGGAAGGAGATTGAGACACAAAAATGATTCAAAAGATCAATGAATACAGGAGCTGGTTTTATGAAATAATTAATAAAATAGATGGACTTCTAGCTAGACTAATAAAGAAGAAAAGAGAGAAGATTCAAATAAACACAATTAGGAATGACAAAGGAGGTATTACCACTGACCCCACAGAAATACAGACAACCATCAGAGAATATTATGAATACTTCTATGACATAAAGTAGAAAATCTAGAAGAAATGGATAAATTCCTGGGCACATACACCCCCTAAGACTGAACTAGGAAGAAATTGAATCTATGAACAGACTAATAATGAGCTCTGAAATTGAGTCAGTAGTAAATAGCCTACCAAAAAAAACAAAACAAAACAAAACAAAACCCAGGACCAAATGGATTCACAGCTGAATTCTATCAGGTGTACAAAGAAGAAATGGTACAATTCCTGCTGAAACTATTTCAAAAAATTGAGGAGAAGAGACTCCTACCTAACTCATTCTATGAAGCTAGCATCATCTAAATACCAAAACCTGGCAGAGACACAACAAAAGAAGAAAACTTCAGGCCAATATCCTTGATAAACATTGATGCAAAAAAATCCTCAACAAAATACCAGCAAACCGAATCCAGCAGCACATCCAAAAGCCAATCTACCATGATCAAGTAGGCTTTATCCCTGGGATATGAGGTTTGTTCAACATATAAAAATCAGTAAATGTGATTCATCACATAAACAGAACTAAAGACAAAACCCACATGATTATCTCAATAGATGCAGAAAAGTCTTCTGATAAAATTCAACACTCCTTCATGTTAAAAACTCTTGATAAACTAGCTATTGAAGGAACATACGTCAAAATAGTAAGAGCCATCTATGACAAACCCACAGCCAACATCATACTGAATGGGCAAAAGCTGGAAGCATTCCCCTTGAAAACTGGCAGAAGACAAGAATGCCCCCTCTCATTACTCCTATTCAACATAGTACTGAAGTCCTTGCCAGGGCAATCAGGCAAGAGAAAAGAATAAAGAGCAGCCAAATAGGAAAAGAGGAAGTCAAAGTATTCCTGTTTGCAGATGACATGATCATCTATCTAGAAAACTCTATCGTCTCAGCCCAAAAACTTCTTAAGTTGATAAACAACTTCAGCAAGGTCTCAGGATACAAAATCAATGTGCAAAAATTACTAATATTTCTATACACCAACAACAGTCAAGCCTAGAGCAAAATCAGGAATGCAGTCCTATTCACAATTGCCACAAACAGAATAAAATACCTAGGAATACAGCTAACCAGGGAGGTGAAAGATCTCCACAAGAAGAACTAAAAAGCACTGCTCAATGAAATCAGAAATGACACAAACAAATGGAAAAACATTGCATGCTCATGGATAGGAAGAAACAATATCATTAAAATGGCCATACTGCCCAAAGCAATTTATAATTCAATGTTATTCCTATCAAACTACAATTGAGATGCTTCACAGAACTAGTAAAAACTATTTTAAAATGCATATGGAACCAAAAAAGATACATAGATACAAAATAAGGACATGAAAACATGTGCAATGTCATTAGCCATTAGAGAATTACAAATTAAAACCACAATAAGATATTACTATATACCTATCATGATAGCTAAAAATAAAAAGTAGGCACAATACCAAATCCTGGTGAGGATGCAGAGAAAATAGATCACTCACATTTGGCTGCTGGGAATGTAATATAGTACAGCCACACTGGAAAATAGTTTGGCATTTTCTTTAAAAGCAAAACATGCAACCACCATACAACCCAGCAATTGCACTCCTGAGCATTTATCCCAGAGAAATGAAGACTTATGTTCAGAGAAAAATCTGCACATGTATGCTCATAGCAGCTTTATTCAGACAAAAACTGGAAACAAACTGTGGTATATCCATACTAGGAAATACTACTTAGCAATAAAAACGAACAAACTGGATACAGGCACCACGACCTGGATGAATCACCAGGGAATTATGCTGAGTGAAAAAAAAAATTGCAAAATGTTGTCTACTAAATGATTCCACTTATATAACACTCCTGGAATGCCAAAACTATAGAGATGGAAATTAATAATTGCTGTGTTAATGAAGAAGTGGAAATGGGAGGGAAGTGGCTGTGGCTACAAAAGGGCAAAATGAGGGATATTATAGTGATGAAAGTGTTCTTTATTTTAATTATATCAATGTCAATATCCAGACTGTGATAATTTACTGTAGTTTACAAGATGTTATCCTTGGAGGAAACTGGGTAAAATGTACATGAGATATCTCTGTAACATTTCTTAAAAGTGTCCGTGAATCAACAATTATATCAAAATAAAAAGTATAATTTAATACAGCATCTTAACATTTTCAACAAAACTAAGTGTCAAAGTATCCCCATAAACCTCAAATACAAATTGGTGAGGACAAACCACTAGTAGTTGCACGTTATTAATTTTTCCTGTTATGGATTATGCCTTTGGTGTCAAGTCTAAAAGCTTTTTGCTTAACCCTAGATCCTGAAGATTTTCTCCTGAGAGTTTTGTGACTTTATGTTTTACATATTAGACTTTGATCCATTTTTATTTCTTCCTTTGAAATCTGCACGCCTTTTTTTTTTCTCGCCCATTACATTATCTAGAACTTCCAACGCCATGTTGAATAAGCATGGCGAGAGTGGACATCATTGCTTTGTTCCCGATCTTTGGGGGAAAAATTTCAGTCTTTCACCGCTGTGTTAGCTGTGAGATTTTTTTGCAGATGCTCTTTATCAAGTTGAGGCAGTTCCTCTCTATTTGCATTTTCTGAGCATTTTATCATGAATGGCCATTGAATTACGTATTCTAATACCTCATATATGTATATCATTAACTTGGATTACGCTTCTTTAAATAGCTGCCTTTTCTACTGGTTGTCAAATGAGCTGTATCCTTTCTATTTAATGCCTACATGAAGTTTTTAAATATGGACTCTATGTCATATATTTAGTCCCTTTCAGGTTTCCAACATAAAGTGATACTATTTCAGCTACTTAAGCACTTATTTAGGCTTTATGCCTCATGTAGTTTAGATTTATTATGAGTTTGCACTTACATTTGATTCCTTTTTATACTCCTAATGTCTTTTTTTCTTAAACAAGTGGCCTATATATTTGGACTCACAATATTTATACATCCTCTGTCACCAGGGGTACATGTCCTTATACCTTAAAGCACGTGCTTCTGGAGTCCTGTTGTGTTACATGTTTCCTCTAAAACAAACCCTCCATGTTATTTGAGAGCCAACCCCACTTTTCAAATTATTTAGGCTGCTGTAACCTCCATTAATAAAGGATTCAAAAGTCATAATTGTGTGATTCTTTAGGAATTATCCAAAAAGGCAATCTGATTTATTTTCCAAATATCCTGGATCTGAAATAATCTATCAGAGTTTATTTCTATGCTTGGAAAGCTTCCTTTGATGTCAGCATTTGCGATTTTCTTACTTAGCTTATGTAGCTAAGTAAGAAATGAATTGCTTTTGTTGGTTTCTTAGTACATTCTGTCCATCAAGTACATTGAGTTGTTTAGAATTGTTTTGAGTCAACAGTGTAACAAGCATCCAAAATCTTGTATAGTCAATTTTGTTTGACTATTGTGCTAGAAGATCAATTTCTATTTCCTCTGTTGACAATATCCTGAGCATTTTGAAGTTACACAATTGCAGTGGTAATTTAGTGGAAGAGTGTTAACATTTTAACCTAAATAATTGATTTTGTATTAAACAAATTCTGATGTAGGAATGTATTTAGTATTAACTATATGGAATTCTCTATAAATCTCATAAACAGAGTAGTTGCTTTTTTGAAGGGGATTAAAAATTAAATATCAACATTTTCATTTTAGAAAATAAAAAATGTGGCTCACGCCTATAATCCCAGCACTTTGGGAGGCTGAGGTGAGCAGATCACTAGGTCAGGAGATCAAGACCATCCTGGCTAACACAGTGAAACCCTGTCTCTACTAAAAAATATGAAAAATTAGCTGGGCATGGTGGTAGGTGCCTGTAGTCCCAGCTACACGGGAGGCTGAGGCAGGAGAATGGTGTGAACCCAGGAGGTGGAGCTTGCAGTGAGCCAAGATCACGCCACTGCACTCCAGCCTGGGTGACAGAACAAGACTCTGCCTAAAAAAAAAAAAAAAAAGAAAAGAAAAAGAAAAGAAAAAATGTCTTTTTTATTTTTAAAATTTTCCTATTTTAATATTTAAAATTATTTTATCTTTTTTTTAAAAAAGTTATACATGACATGGTTTAAAACATCAAATACAGATGGTTCCTGACTTATGATGGTTCCACTTAAGATTGTTCAGCTGTGATGGCGTGAAAGCAGTACACATTCTGGAAGAAATGTACTTCAAATTTGAAATGTCAGTCTTTCTCTGGGCTAGTGATATGTGGTATAACACTCTCACCTGACGCTGAGCAGCAGTAGTGAGCCACAGCTCCCAGTCAGCCACGCTAATGTAAGTGTTCTGAGCATGTTGAGGGTAGGCTGGGCTAAACTATGATGTTTGATAGGTTAGGGGTATTGAATGCATTTTCAACTTGCAGTTTATCAGGACACAAACCCACCTGAAGTCAAGGAGCATCTGTATTTCTACAGGGCTTGTTATGCAAAACAGCTGACCACACTGCCTCCCCATTCCTCTTTCCAGACAGAAATTCTAGTAGATAGTCCCATTTTACAAATGAGAAAGTGGAGGCTTAGGGAGGTTAATTAAGACACGCAAGTTCATATGGGTAGGAAGCGATGGAGCTATGATAAGAACTCAAATCCATATGGTCCCCAAGCCTGAGGTTTGAGCTATATTGCTTCGTGATTACAGGATATATTAGTTTCCTATTGGTGCTGTAACAAATTACCACAATTTAGTGTTTTAAAACAACAAAAATTTATTGTTGGACAGTTCTGGAAATTATAAGCCTAAAATGGGTCCTGTTAAATTAAATTAAATTTGGCTTAAAGCGGCCTCTGTACTTTGAATTCCTACGTAGTATACTGAAATCTAACTTAATGTGTAAGAAAATTGTACCCTAACTTAAGAGCATATTCTTGTAATAAATAGCTGAGTCTCAGGCAAACACAGCAGCCAAGCTTCAGGCAATCACAGGTTGCCAACTGATCAGACCATGATCAAATAAGGCAAATACTGAGCTGTAAACAAGCTGCTTCTGTATACCACTTCCTTTTTCTCTCTATAAATATTGCCTGCCCCTATTGCTCAGTGGAGCTCTCTGTACCTCTTCTGGTCCTGGATGCTGCCCAATTCATGAATTGTGCTTTGCTCAAATAAATCAAAATAAATTTAATTTGTTCAAAGTTTTTCTTTTAACACTTGTACAGGGCTAATCAAGGTGTTAGCTTGTCTGTGTTCCCCTTCTGAAGGCTTTAGCGGATAATCTGTTTTTTGCCTCTTCCAGCTTGCAGCGACCAGCTGCATTCCTCGGCTTGTAGCCCCCTTCCAGCAATCACTTTCCTCTGATTTTTGCTTCTAATATCACATCTCCTTCTTCTATTCTCTTGCCTCTTTCTTTCACTTAGAAGGACCCATGTAATTATATCAGGACCACTTGGCTAATCCAGAATAATCTCCCCATCTCAAGATCCTTAATCTAATCACTAATGCAAAGTCCCTTTTGCCATGTAAGGTAACAGATTCACAGGTTTCATAGATTCAGATCTTTCAGGGGTGGCAGTTGGGGGCATTATTCCATCTACCACACAGAGTAAAGTTTCATCTGGATGACCCACAGGCCCTACAAATACAAAATGTCTAATATGGAATGTTCTCTTAAACTGTCCTTTCTTGATGACTGGAATTACTAACCACTTGGTCTCCCAAGCATCTTCTGCTCTCGCCTTCTCCTCTCTCCCATATACAATGGATGACGACACATCATGTTGCATCTGCTCCCTCACGTGTCTCTGACCCTCTCTCTAGATCCCTGATCCTACTTTAATTCGAGCCCCATCATGTCTGGTCTGTGTTACTCTAACAGTTACCCACGCTGCTTTCTCTGCTTTCAATTTTATGCTCCTCTAACCCACTCTTCCCATCAGAGTAGTCTTTCTAAAACGTGAAGCTGCCCATGACCCTTCCCTTACTATCAGTCTGCATACTGGTCCTACTGACTGCAGATCAAAGACCCAAGTCCTTAGCCTGGTGTGTGAGGCATCCATCCCTAGCCCTCTGCTTCATCTGTCACCCACCCATTTTACCAATTCCGAAAGACTTTCACTTCCCTCGAAGCCTGTCCAAGTGTCCAAGCCGCTCATGCTTTGTTAGACTTGGAAGCCATTCTCCATATACCCTCGATCAGCTTGAATGTCATTTCCACTAGAAAATTTTCCTAATTGTTTGTGACTTCAATGTCCTAATTTTACACACATTTCTGCTGTGCCCCTTTGTTTGCTAATATGTCTCCTGGGTGGTAAGCAGGACTCCGTGTCTTATTAATATTTTCCGTCTCCAGAATTCAGCCACTGTCTGCCACACAAGTGCATAATGAGTTACTATACTAATATTATGCAGCCATGTCCCCTGTACAGCAGTTCCCTGGATCTCATGGCTTCTTTTTTGATTTGCCTTGTTTGTTACCAACTTCCATCAGTAAGACAATCTATCCAATCCTTGTCCCCTTTGCCACATCACATCCTCAGGGCAATAACAAAGTTGTTAAGTTTATGCACCTTCTCCACTTGGAGCAAGGCCTCACCATGTCAGGCCTCCGCCTGATTCTCCTCCCTGCCTGGGATGGCAGATTTTGCTCTAGTGGGTCTCCAGGCCGTGAGGTCTCCTGTCTTTTATGTTCTGATCCGGGTGGTGAGCTGCAGCTCACTACAAGTCCTTACTTGTCTCTGCTGGCCTTTAGAGACTTTGTACTCAATTTGGAGGAACTACTCTTGATGGATTGTAAGTGAGAGGATTTCCTGGTCTCCCTCTGGAGTCCGCCAGAAAACCACATTCTCTGCTTTTCAGCGTTGACTGCTCATGCTTACGTAATTTCTAAGAGTAAGATCCTATGGACTGTCCTGGCAGCAAAGAATTCGCTCAGGATTTTGCCTGAAGCTGCACTTCCGGGGTCTCGCTTCATCAGAATACTTCTTCATTTTCATCATCGGCCCAGCGATGCATGGGTACCTCTTAGGGTTTAGCCCCAGAATGTACTGGGGGAGGGGAGGGTAAAGTAGGTGGGGAAGGAGTCAGAGTCGTAGGTCATCTGTGGCTGGAGTTTTGCATCCCTAATAAACGGGAAATGAACTGAAGGAAGGCTGGGTTTTCACGTCAACACGAAGGACACCATTACGATGCTAGACTAATCATCAAATAAAATTCCAGATGGAAAAAATTCAGAAACTTAATTTGGAATTTGAGCCCCGCTCTATTATGCAACGTTCCCAGCCATTGCTCCGCGGATGTAATGTGGACTTCCACCGCCAGATGGCGATCGAGACCGTAATTTAAGTTGGTTTTCTCAACTTCCTCTGGACTGAGTCCCCGTGAAAATCCCAAGTTTAACGAGGGGCTTTCCTCGCGTAACCTTCGCTTCTGCTTCCTCTCTCACATCACCTCAACCTGCGAGACTCTGAAAGGGATAATGAGGGTTGGGGGGAATATGGAAATTCAGGGAAGGGAGAGGGGGGTGGTGTGAAGCTTTCCAGACCAGCCACACAGAAATAGCATACCAATAGTGGTTTAGAGCACAGACCCCCAGCCAGAATGAGTAATTTAAACAGCCCTACGATGTAATCGTTGTGTGCATATGCATCTCTATGCCTCTCTCTCTCTCTTTCTTTCATCTGAGACAGGGTCTCACTCCCTCTGTCCCACAGGCTGGAGTGCAGTGGTGCAATAATGGCTCGCTGCAGTCTTGACCTCCTGGGCTCCAGTGGTCTTCCCACCTCAGCCTCTGAAACCACAGGGTCTTGAACTTCTGGGCTCAAGTGATCTTCCTGCCTCGGCCTCCTAAAGTGCTGGGGTTACAGGTGTCGGCCACCATGCCTGTCTGCTATTTAAGTGCATAGAAGAATGCCTGGCACTCAGTTAGTGTTAAATATTTATAAAATAAATTAAAATTTTATGACACTACACACATGTTGTTGAGTATGTCATAAATAGAGACATATTTAATGAGATGTCAACATATATCACGTTAATGAATTAAGTAAGTTTGAGAATATTAGAGAAGAATGATAATAGATTAACGGAGGAGGCTGGGCGCAGTGGCCCACACGTGTATTCCAGCACTTTGGGAAGCCGAGGCAGGCAGATCACATGAGGTCAGGAGTTCGAGACCAGCCTGGCCAACATGGTGAAACTCCTTCTCTACTAAAAATACAAAAAAAAAATTAGCCGGGTGTGGTGGTGTGCGACTGTAATCCCTGCTAATGGGGAGGCGGAGGTTGCAGTGAGAGGAGATCGCGCCACTGCACTGCAGCCTGGGCGACAAAGCAAGACTCCATCTCAAAACAAACAAACAAACAAACAAACAAAAAACAGACGAAATAGGGTTTGAGTATGTAGTCTGCTCTCAACATGAGATAGTAAAGTCTTTGCTTCCCTTATATTCTGCTAATTAACTCATTTGATGCACATCGATGTATAAAGCCTTTAACTTCTATTTATTCTTTTCCTTGAAAAGCATGCGGAATGCCTTCTCAGGACTCTCCCATTTTTTATTTGTGAACACCCACTGGCATTCCCGGATACGAAGCTTGCAAGAAGGTGTGAACCGCCCTATACTCGTGAGCCCCTGGGGCTCTGTACTCTTTCCAGCCCACATTTGACCTCAGTCAATTTTTAAATGATTCCAGCTAAATTCTTCTTACCAGTGCCCAGCTGTACCTGCCTTAGGTAAGCAAGCACTCAGGCGACAACTCTCCTAGATTTCAAGCTAGTTGGAAGCTCAATCCCAGCTCTGTGATGGGTTGAAAAAAATTGCGACCTTGCAATTTGTGTGATTTCTTTCATGTTGCAAGGAAGCATCATTGTTTCCAGTTCTCTGCATCCCCAAGCAGAAACCAGAACTCTATATAAACGTTTTTAAATGGAGACATTGAGAAAAAGTACCCGAGAAACCAATGAGATACAGGAAGAATGCTTCCAGCACTAACATGAATGGGGCTTGGCCATACAGATAGAAGGGTTGGAAACTCTTACGCCTTGATTTAAACTCTCTATGCATATTCTGAGCACGCTGGGGAATGTACTACTACTAGGCTTGATTTGGATTCATGGCTACTACCTCCCACAAAATGATAGGTCTTCTGTTTTAGTACGTGAAATAATTCCTCAATCGATCTTATTGCTGCTATTTCTGTTAAGCATAAACAATGATTTGGGTCACAAATTTTAATGGGGTTTAAATTCCTTTGTGCATCCCAACAGGTAATCCTCTTACTCTGGGCTATGAACTTGCTACTGCCAAGATGGATGCCATGAAAAAAAGAGATCTCATCAAAATGGTCACAGAGAGATGGAGGGCCTCTGTGTAGATGGCAGGGTGGTGGTGGCCGTGTAACTAGCTGCCCGGTGAGGAGCAGCCCTTGGGGAGAGCCCAGGTAGGACCAGGAGAAGCAGAAATAGAGAAAAGTGAAAGATTGAGGTGGAAAGAACATGAGGGACAAGAGCTCTGCATGGCCACATCACCAGCAGTCTTGTTATTACAATGAGGATGAAGGGACTGAAAAGAGGGGAAGAGATGGAATTCATCAAACAACAGTGCTCATTCATACAAGGCAAGTATACATGTAGCCTTTTCTCTCTCTATCTGAAGACGTGGCTTACTGTAACAGGAACTATCATGGGCATTGGACGGCTGTCTCATGGTGATCCCATCCTCCTCTACATCCTAAACTTTTTTTTGAATGCATTTCTGTATTTTGACTTCCTCTCTCCCCAAAGTTCTTCTTAACTTCTGAGTATGACTTAGCTTCCTTATTCTTTGAAATATTTGAAACCCCTAACTTCCTCTCCTCTGTGGTGTAACTCACATGGCTTCTTGATACCAGGAGGCACTGTCTGCATACAACCTCATATTATGAGGATGAAATGCCCATGAATCCTACCAATCTGAGGAACAACGCGTTTGTCTTCTCTGACAAAATACGGGTGCCACATATTCTGTAGGAAAAGGTGGTGTTGAGGTCAGAACTTCTCTGTTTCTCCGTCTCTCTCTCTCTGGTTCTGGAAATGTTGAGAATATGAGTGAAGGGAAAAAGATGGGCACCACGTGGAGGCAATTTCATGGTGGCATGAAACAATTTTGGGGGCATGAATGCCATGGGCAGGACATCAGGGCCCCAAAAGGGAAATACACAGTACTTTCTTTGGACTTCAGTGCTCTCTTTTATAGTAATGGAAACCACAAGCGCAGAGGAAGGGGAGCTGATTCTATAAAAAGAAGTTTATTTCCTACTTTAAAAGATGATTTTTTGACTATCTTCCCACAATAGAGCCAGAGGATCACAGGGGAAAGCTACGATCCTCAATTATAGAAAATGATGTTGGGTGCATCTAGCATCACAGAAGCTTTAGAGGACACAGTCATCTCAGGTACCTACAGATGAGGAAGAAGTACCAATGAGAGTACCTACTCGTATTCTTATTCATGGAAGTGAATCCCTTCAGGAACCAAATCATTTAGCTGCTGGTAGATGTTTCTTTTGGCTCCTCTCTCTCCTGAGCTCTCAAACACAGACTTTTTTTTCTGTGTGCCTCTGCTTTTGGCAACTCTGTTCCAAGAATAAGAATATTTGTTTGTAGATGAGCTTGCTAGGTCGGGGATCTCTTGTATAGGGAGATGGTGAATCACTGAGCAGGACACAGAGGCATGAGTTGAAACAGTGAGATGTACCTTAGTTTAAAGAGAGGTCACAAGAGCTCACGGACCATTATTAGATAAACTCTAAATTAGAAAAAAGAACCATATTTCTCTTTTGATAGTCACATAAAAATTGAAGCCATACTCATTCTAATAAAAAGTAACATGCATAGCTCTTCATTGCAAAGCTCATCTATTATTCATAACAGGCATATAGAGTCTATATCATTTTTACAGAAGTGGAAATAGCATGCAATTACTAATTTAGTTTATTCATTAGTTTTCCAAAAGTGAAATAAAGAATTTTCCCTTTGACTTCCTACCTGGTAATTTGAAAGAGATAAATTTGTGACTAAAAAGAGTACTTCACATCATACACAAATAATTAATGCAACTGATTGACCCAAGCTAGTGTGTGTGATATTGTGATATAATAGGAAGTATATATTTGGTTTCTGACCCTGGTTCCTGCCCTTCAGCTCCTAAAACTCTTGGAATCTCCAGAGTGATAAGAGTGTCTTTTGCATGCTAATGAGGTGACTGGTGGCTGGGGCTGGTCACCAGAAAGACCAAGGCAGGATTAGAGGGTTGGGATTTTCAGCCCATTCACAATCTCTGGGGAGAAGGGAGGGGCTGAAGGTTGAGTTGACTGCCAATGGCCAATGGTTTAATCAACTCACCATGCTGACATAACAAAGCCTCCATTAAAACCCAAAAGGGCAGAGTTTGGAGAGTTTCCAGATAGCAGAACACGGAAAGATGCCTGGAGGATAGGCTCTTGAAGAAGGTGTGGAAGCTCCGCACTCTTTCCCCCATACTTTGTCCTATGTGTTTTGTTTTTCTTTATCAATCTGTTAGTCTGTATCCTTTGTCTTATCCTATGTAATAAACCAGTGTATGTAAGTAAGTGTTTCCCTGAATTCTTTGGGCTGCTCTAGCAAATTAATTGAACCTGAGGAAAGGTTTGTGGGAACCTCCAATCTATAATTGGATGGTCAGAAGTACAGGTGATAGCAACTGGCATCTGAAGTGGGAGGGGGGCAGTTTTGCATGACTGATCCCTCAATCTGTGGGATCTGATGCTATTTTTAGGTAAATAGTATCAGAATTGAATTGATTTAGAGGAACCAGGTGTCTGCTGGAGAATTGCTTGGTGTGGGGGAAAAATCTCCACATACCTGATGTCAGAAGTAACTGTGTAAGACAGAAGGAAAAATGCTTTGGAGTTTTTTGTTTTTTCCCCCCATCTCTATTTATATAGGTTAAAAATGTGGCTGGGTGCATGCCCATGATCTGAGCACTTTGGAAGGCCCAGGCGGGAGGATCACTAGAGGTCAGGAGTTCAAGACCAGCCTAGGCAACACAGTGAGACCCCCCGCATCTCTAAAAAACAAACAGAGACAAATACATAAATAAATCAGTACAAGTACAAGCCTCATAATCCATTATGAAAGTGTCAGAGTGATGAATGCCATGGGCATAGTAACAGTTAATAAAGAAAATAATGTGTTGGAGGAATATTTAAGATAACTGAGGCTGCTACAAGCAAAACTACAGAATAATTTCATCATATACATTTTTTTTTGTTTCCAAATTAGATACAAGATTAAGCCTTGGGTCTCCCTGGCAGTGGAGGGCGATTCTGATATTCACATATAACTACCCACAGGGCATGGATTCTGAGAGATGCTGATAAAAGAAGTTGGTGTCTTCTTGGCATTTGTCCCCAAGGATCTTCCAATACCCAGAGAATCTGCATTTACACAGATCATGCTCCCTTGGGAGCTTCTCTTGACTGCCCCCCACACCCTCATTCGTGGCTTTTCCTCTTTGATCTCCCACTTCAGTCCTCACACCTGTCAACACTGTGCTTATTACCATGTGGAGTGGTTAGAAGATCTTCCCAGAGTCAAGACATTTCCAGGGTCACCCTTCTCTTAGGCATTTCTTGGCACGACTGTCCTGAATAAAGGAAAGGAGATGAAGGTGATGTTGAGAAGCATCTAGAGGGCTGGAGTCAGGGGGAACCGGCTGAGGCTGTTGGATCAAGTTTTAGCCACTGGTAAAAGACCTCCAAGCTGCGAATGCTATTGCCATCTGTGTAAAGTCGCCTCCGAGATTAGAACATGCCAAAGACTGAAGAAAGAGGTCTAGGTAGCATAAAGCCATCATGTAATTGAAGTTTCTTCCGTTTCCAAGGACAGGAAGCGTGCAAATGGCTCTGCGTTCTCAGTAGGGTTGGGGCTAAGAAGTGAGCCTGCAAATGGTAGTTTGGGTGAAGACTTGTGTGATGCATGCAGAGACTCAAATTTAGTGTCCTCTGAACACAAACACCCTCTATGATCCGGGTTAGGTATCGCTCCTGTGAACGTTCAAAGAACACCTTTATATTCTGAGGGGACACCGTTCATCATCAGATCACTGTTGACGGAAGCCAGGTGACAGCTTTGTATTTCGTGTTTTCCCCTTTAGTAATGTAAAAATAGAAGTTATTTCTCCTTTCTTCCAATGTAGGATTTTTTTTTTTTGAGAGGGTCTCTGTCACCCAGGCTGGAGTGCAGTGACACAAACACAGCTCACTACATCCTTGACCTCTTGGGTTCAGATGATCCTCCCGCCTCAGCCTCCTTAGTAGCTGGGACGACAGGCACATTCCACCGGCCCGGCTAATTTCTTTTTAAAGTTTTTGTAGAGATAGGGCTCTCACTATGTTGCCCAGACTGGTCTTGAACTCCTGAGCTCAAGCGATTCTCTCACCTTGGCCTCCCAGAGTGTTGGGATTACAAGCGCGAGCCACCACACCCAGCCCAGTGAAGGAATGTTTAATTCCTCCACTTGCTATCAAAGAAAACTGCTAACTTTCTTATTTCCTAATTTCTCTTTTTCTATTTGCTTCTCCTTAGGTTCAGCTCTTGGGTGCTATCTCTTTAGTTTTGAGAATATGAAGGTTTGTTTAGAAAAAAAAAAGCAGAAAAAATTCACTGGAAGATTTCACATTTGTATGTATCTTTATGAAATGTGACAGTGAAGTGTTAGGGTAGAGATATTTGATCTGATTACCATTAGGATAAAATCAAATCTCCTTACCATGTCTTACATGTGTACTTGTCCAATCTTGTCTCCTATAATTGTCCAACCAACCCGTTCTGTTCCAGCCTCACTGGCCTTCTTATTCTTTCACGAAGCTCACACTGTCCTCCAGAGCCTTGCACTCTCTTTTGCCTGGAATGCTCTCCCAGATCTTAACATGATAGGAAAACAAAAGACAACTGTTTGTCATGTCTACTACAGTCTCAGCCCCATGAGTCAGAGTCCATGCCCATTTTCCTTCCATGCAACATTCCTGGCACCTAGATAGTGACTGATGCATAATGGCTGGTAAAATATTTGATTAAAAAATATTTTAGTGTATTTCCTCCCCCAAAATATACATACACAACAGAGGCAGTTATTTTGTCTATATCTTTAGCACATTTTAGGCATTTAGTAAATTTCTGTTGAATCCATATGGAATTCTTCAGATTGATCTGTGAACACTTTAGATTTGAAAAAGGAGAAAATCATAAAACTAAGGGTAATGGGGAGAGAGCAAAACCAAAGGCATACATGGGAAGATTCTCCTTATACAAAATACTTCTTCCATGTCTATAATGAACCCCCAAATTATCTGGATACTTACAACAGTGGTAGCAAGGGAATGTCTCGTTAATGCAGGTTCTCTATTCTCCTCAATTAATTTCAGGTCCTTAATTGTGCATGACATATGAAACATAAAGGGTGTTTATTTGCTAATCACCAGCATTAATTAATTCAAAGACTTACCTGAGATTCTGTTTGTGCAATAAAAATTAAAAAGATTACTCAGTAATACATTGGGAGAGGTGTAACTGGGGCATTAAAATACGAATGTGTGTCTAATTTTCAAACATCATAAGTATTTTGAAAGCACTTATACATAATCAATTAATATATGTTGTTAAATAAATTCATATGAATAATATGTGATATAAATTAGTGTTTTGTATTAATTTCAAGACAATTATAAAGAGAATGTCACCATCACTCTTTTGATTCAATCAACAGTCCTTAGACTGGTTCCTTGTAATGAATTTAATGGGTTAATAAAAGCTGTGTTATTTGAAATTATGTAATTTTGTTTTTTTAATATTTTGCTCAAACACTTTTCTTATTAGTGTAAATGACTGAAGTATTATGTAAATTTTAATACTGATTATCTAAGGTATATCATTAAAACAAATTATGAGCTGTGATCTTGGGCAAGGTACTCAAACTGAAAGATGTTTTCCTTATCTGAAAATTTAGATAATAATAATTACCTCATAGTCTGTTAAGAAAAGCACATGTGATAATATATTTTAATGTACAATATGTCTGGCACATATTAAGGTCTAAAAAAGATAACTGTTACTGTTATACCAATAAGTATAATAATTTTGATAAATATAATAGTAATTTAAATATATTTTTTCCAACTTTTATTTTAAGTTCAGGGGTACATGTGCAGGATGTGCAGGTTTGTTACATAGGTAAATGTGTGCCATGGTGGTTTGCTACACAGATCATCCCATCACCTAGTTATTAAGCCCAGCATCCGTTAGCTATTCTTCCTGATGCTCTCCCTCCTCCCATCCCCTACCTCCGACAGGCCCCAGTGTGTGTTGTTCCCCTCCATGTGTCCATGTGTTCTCATCATTCATCTCCCACCTATAATGAGAACTATGAACTCATCATTCAGCTCCCACCTATAAATGAGAACATAAGATATTTGGTTTTCTGTTCCTGTGTTAATTTGCTAAGGATAATGGCCTCCAGCTCCATCCATGTGCCTGCAAAGAACATGATCTTATTCCTTTTCATGGCTACATAATGCACCACATTTTCTTTATTTAGTCTACCATTGATGGGCATTTGGGTTGATTCCATGTCTTTGCTATTGTGAATAGTGCTGCAATGAACATATGCATGCATATGTCTTTTATAATAGAGTAATTTATATTCTTTTGGTTATATACCCAGTAATGAGATTGCTGGGTCAAACAGTATTTCTGTCTCTAGGTCTCTGAGGAATTGCCACACTGTCTTCCACAATGGTTGAACTAGTTTACACTCCCACCAACACAACCTCTCCAGCATCTGTTGTTTTTTCACTTTTTAATGATAACCATTCTTATTGGTGTGAGATGGTATCTCATTGCGGTTTTGGTTTGCATTTCTCTAATGATCAGTGATATTGAGCCTTTTTTCATATGTTTCATGGCCACATGTATGTTTTCTTTTGAGAAGTATGTGTTCATGTCCTTTGCCCATTTTTTAATGGTTTTTTTCTTGTAAATTTAAGTTCCTTATAGATGCTGAATTGTAGATCTTTGTCAGACGCATAGATTGAAAAATTTTCTCCCATTCTGTGGGTTGTCTTTTTACTGTGTTGGTAGTTTCTTTTGCTGTGTAGAAGCTCTTTACTTTAATTAGATCCCATTTGTCAATTTTTGCTTTTGTTGCAATTGTTTTGGCTTCTTCATCATGAAGTCTTTGCCCATGCCTATGTCCTGAATGGTATTGCCTAGGTTTTCTTCTAGGGTCTTTATAGTTTTGGGTTTTACATTTAAGTGTTTAATCCATCTTGAGTTGATTTTTGTATATGGTGTAAGGAAGAGGTCCAGTTTCAATCTTCTGCATATGGCTAGCCAGTTCTCCCAGCACCATTTATTAAAGAGGGAATCCTTTCCCCATTGCTTGTTTTTGTCAGATTTGTTGAATATCAGATGCTAGTAGGTGTGTGGTCTTATTTCTGGGTTCTGTATTCTGTTCCATTGGTCTATATGTCTGTTCTTGTACCAGTACCATGCTGTTTTAGTTACTGTAGCCCTGTAGTATAGTTTGAAGTTGGGTAATGTGATGCCTTCAGCTTTGTTCTTTTTGCTTAGGATTGCCTTGGCTCTTCGAGCTCTTTTTTTGGTTCCATGTGAATTTTAAAATAGTTTTTAAAAAATTCTTTGAAGAATGTCAATGGTAGTTTAATAAGAATAGCATTAAATCTATAAATTGCTTTGGGTAGTATGGCCATTTTCATGATATTGATTCTTCCTATCCATGAGTATGGAATGTTTTTCACTTTGTTTGTGTCATCTCTGATTTCTTTGAAGAGTGATTTGCAGTTTTCCTTGAAGAGGTTCTTCACTTACCTTGTTAGCTATATTCCTAGGTATTTTATTCTATTTGTGGCAATTGTGAATGGGAGATCATTTGTGGGTAATTTAAATTTTTAAAATCAAATATTTTATCACTCATTATGCATTATTCTTCTCTGGGATAGATAGAGATTTCCCAGAACTCCGATAACCTTTATTTTAACCTATTTACCTCTGATTAATCTGTTTCACCTCCCGGTTGTTACTGTAGTAACTGGGGTTATTAATAGCCTCAGAGCTACCAAGACTTCTCTGTAAAACTGATTATCTTTTTCAGGATAGCATCCTCTAAATGGTTATGCAAGATTTATGGTTAAGAATGGAAGTAGCTGATTAAATAATTCGATGAGCTTTACTCAACTATCTACTTTTCACAGCCTCTATTTTGTCCCCTGTGGAAGCACATAACAGGGCTTAGCTTTGGTGTTGTAGCTCTCTGTCAGAATATGCAATTAGTAGGTCTCATATATAAAATTTCATTTCATCTTAATATTAATCCCACCAAATGGAAGCTATCTAAACTTTAAAGTTAAAATGACTGAGGCTAACAGAGAATATGTGATTTGTTGAGGGTCACAAACTTAACGAATTCTCCAACTGCGGGACAAATGCATTTTTCTCAAAATCTGTTACCTTTTATATTATATCCCAGTGTCTCATAGTGCCAAGACAAGGAAAAAATGAACAATTCTTAGACAATTATCTTCTTTTCCAGGGAATATCTTTCCATTTTCTTTTTCCCATCCCTCTCCTACCCTCCCCCAGCTACAGTCAAACCTCAAATATAAGAACCAGAGAATTTAAATAAATGTCACAAGAAGAAACATCCTGAATCGTGTTCTTCTTCTGGTTCCTGAAACTTCCAAACATATCTTCAGCGTTATCACAAAGTTCAGTGATACTTAGGAATAACCTAGTGCTGGACACCAAGTAGATGACCAATGAATAATTTTTGTATTCTTAGTAGAGATGGGGTTTCACGATGTTGGCCAGTCTGGTCTAGAACTCCTGACCTCAGGTGATCCACCCGCCTTGGCCTCCCAAAGTGCTGGGATTACAGGCATGAGCCACCGCACCCGGCCCAGAAACAGATTTCTTATCTGAAATATCAGAAGGCAGAAAACAACAAGAGGGAAAAAAGGCTGCTAACTTAACGCATGGGGAAGCAGGGTGTGGGCAGGAAATGCAGTGTAAGAGAGGAGATTTGTACAGGGCGATGGAAGAGACAATGGAGAGAAGACAATCTGAGCAGAAGCTGTGAGGAGTAGATAGATACTGGGGAAAGGGGCTGCTAATTATGGTGTTATTTTAAAACTAGCTTTGTGTTTAAAATTCTCATTGCAACACCCTCAGAGACCTCCACTGCACTGCAAAAATCTTGGATTTATATTTTGTTTATCTTCTGGTGTAAAACTGAGCTGAAGCACACTGATTCTACTAGAAGAAGTCAATGTCCTAGGAAGACATTGACAGCTGTAGGGATGTTAACTGGGTCATCTTCACCAGTAGGTGGGGACATTGCACTTTAAAAATTCAAGGGAGCTGCTGCTTTCCCTTCTCTCCTGGCCCCTTGGCAGGTCTAGATTTGAGGGATCAGCATTTCTTGAGGGTGGTAACCCAGCCACTCTTATTTCCCTTACTCTTCCTTCCATGTGTTCAAAATATGATGCAATCTGAGATGTGGTTGTGGGTGTTTGAGAAGCAAAGAAGCATGACTGGAGCAGGAGTTAAAGTCTGCTTTTGTTTGAGAACTGAAGAGCTCAGTCTTTTACACGCTTTCACAGATAAGAGATTGGTACTATAAAATTACATGCTTAAAACAAACTTCGCTGCTGTCATTCTAATGCAAGCCACTATCCTTTTTCACATTGAGCATTCTGCCACCATCTGCAGCATTCTTGATATTTCAGTAAGAATTAAATTTTATTTTGCAATCAGTATTTTAAATTTATCAGGATACCTGTATATAGTTTGAGGATTAAACAATAAAGATGTATTTTAATGAAAACAAGAGCCCTTCATGCCATTCCTTTCCTCCACTAGCATTATCCCCAGCTCAATGACTTTTAATGGTAATATGTGTATCTTTGTGTATGTGGGGTATTAATTTAGACATCAGTTATCTAATTATCTGAAAGCAGATAATTTAGACCACCAACAATTTTATGTCTCTGGCATCCTTCTTGCAATTTTATTATATTACTATGTTTAGTTCCTCTGTAGGTAATCCCTGTATTTAAAAAAAAAAAACAAAGAAAACCTACACCTAAGTATATTGTATTTAAACTGTAAAAAAAGTTGAAATACATAAATACTGCTTAGAAAAGCAAAGTGGGATGGGAAAAGTACAAGTTATTACATTTTAGTATATTTCTTAAAAATGAATATAACAGGTAGATATTTGTTAGTATGCATTACAAAATTTGGGCAACATAGTTATGAAGTATATTTGGATATATTTCAATACATATATTACACAAAGGAAGAAATAAAGTACTGCTCAAATCAATGGATTAAATAACCTAGTTGAGATATTGGAAAGTAGATGAACAGTAATTCACAGAAGAAACTCAAATGGAAAATAGCATATGCAAAGATGGCCAACTTTCTCTATAATATTTGACACAGTAATATTATGTCATTTCAGTTTAAATAAAATTATACATTGATAAAAATGTGAAATCACGTCTTTGAGGGGTTACTAAGAAACTGTCTAGAAGCATTGTTCTAGAAGCTGATGTGGTTTTGGAAGATCAAGTGTGAATGTCCAAAGGCACTTCTGTTGAATAAAACACCAAGTGGAGAAATTGAAGATCCCTGATTGTGGAAGTATCCAACTGTTTAGAACTCAACTGAAATCCTGAATGATAGTTCTCTACATGTAGCAGGAGGAGCAAGTGACTCATGGAAATAACGGGTTTATTTAAATAAAGATAGCCTTTATGTGGACATCAAATTCATCAATGAATGTATCCATTTATTTGTCAAATAATTATTTAGCTCCTACTAAGTGCTACATGCTATTCCAGATAACTTAGTCAAAAAGGCAAATGTGTCCCTACCTTTATGAGCTTTAATTCTAGCAGGAACTAAAAAAAGTCACATAATAAACAGACATAAAATGCAGTGTTAGGTTGTGATTCTTGCTATGAAGCTACAAAAGAGGAAAGCTGAGTAAGGGAATAAAGAAACAAAGTGCTTATCAGTAGTGAACTTCCATGCAGGCCATGATAGGCTCATTTCAAAAGAAGCAGAAATATTTTATTATTTTTCCTTGGGTTATTAGTGTCACATGTAAGAATAGTGCACTAGATTTACTACCACAGATTTTTGTACTTATACTTATTTTGAACAAAATAACAACGTCTAGATAGTTCCTTTCCTCCTGCAAGAACTAAGTGTATGTAAGTCCTCTCTTTTGTAATCTAGTTTATTTTTTTCACATGTGAGGATCCCAGATACTATTAGGATGCCTTCATTGCTAATTGGATCTTGGAAAATATACTTTCTTGCTTTACAAAATATATTTCCTTTTAAGCCTCAGAGTAAATTTTGAAATGATCTACCCATGGATTAGTCCTCTGATTTTAACTAGTATCATTATTCTAGCTGTAAAGGACATCTATTCAAACTGTGTACAGGTAAGATTATCCAGGGGGTATAGTTTAGAGCACCCATATAATTTTCAATAGATTATGTGATTTTACAAGAATCTATCAAGTTAATGTTTCAAGAATATTGATAATTACTTTTAGACGTTTTGCTGAAAAAATACAAATAGACAGGGAGTCCATAGTAATAGGGTGGGTCTAAAGTTATGTAGTCTGAGTGAGGACATGGGATGTTAAGTCCAGAGACAGGCCATATGCAGACAGCCAGAACAATGTCTCAAAATCTACAAATGGCTGGGCCTGGATCAGTAATTCTTATGTGAAGGAGGATGCCAGAAATGAGCAACGTAAACCTTAACAGAGTCTGAAAACACATCTCAAGGTAGAGGTTAGAATGAATCCACCTGCCATCCCAGCCTGATACACATGCTAGAATGGGTTATAGAAATGGGCTAACAGGAAAAAAGTCATTGAAATCATGGAAAAGACCGAAATGAAAAATGTGAGATAATATAAAGGTCCATATGTGTTATTTATTTCAGTAAAATGCAAATAGACTTGACTTGTGATCAAAAGACAGAGACTGACAAATTGAATGCAAAAATACAAATTCAGATTATACTGTTTACAAGACATATGTCTAAAGCATAAAAGTCATTTCAGAGATTGAGTGTAAAAGACAGAAAGGATATATCATGCAAATACTAATTTTGAAAAATGATATCAATTTATTAATGTAAAAAACAAATTTTAAGGAAAAAAGGCATTGTAGATTTTTCTCCATCTCTTTATTTTGAGCCTGTGTGTCATTACATGTGAGATGAGTCTCTTGAAGACAGCATACCAACACATCTTGGTTCTTTATCCAGCTTGTCACTCTGTGTCTTTTAATTGGGGTATTTAGCTGATTTACATTTAAGGTTAGTATTGATATGTGTGGATTTGCTCCTGTCATCATGATGTTAGCTGGTTAATTTGCAGACTTGTTTATGTGGTTGCTTTATAGTGTCACTGGTCTGTGTACTTCAGTGTGTTTTTGTAGTGGCTGGTAACAGTCTTTCCTTTTCATATTTAGTGCTTCCTTCAGAAGCTCTTGTAAGGTAGGTTTGGTGGTAATGAATTTGCTCAGCATTTGCCCTTCTGAAAAGGATCTTATTTCTCCTTCAATATGAGGCTTCATTTGGCCAATTATGAAACTCTGAGTTGGAATTTCTTTTCTTTATGAATATTGAATATTGGCCTCCAATCTCTTCTGCTTGTAGGGTTTTAGCTGAGAGGTCTGCTGTTAGTCTGATGGACTTCCCTTTGTAGGTGACCTGATCTTTCTCTCTAGTTGTTTTTATTTTTTATTTTTTAACATTTTTTTCTTTCATTTTGACCTTGGGGAAGCTGATAATTGTGTGTCTTGGGGATAAAAGTCTTGTGAAGTATCTTATTGGGGTTCTGTACATTTCCTGAATTTGAATGTTGGCCTCTCTAGCTAGGTTGGGGAAGTTCTCATGGATGATATCCTGAACTATGTTTTCCAAGTTGGTTCCATTCTCTCCATCTCTTTCAGGGACACCAATCAGTCATAGATTTGGTCTCTTTACATAACCCCATATTTCTCAGAGGTTTTGTTCATCATTGGGGAAGACAGTGTGGAGATTCTTCAAAGACCTAAAGACAGAAATACCATTCAACCCAGCAATCTTATTACTGGGTATATACCCAAAGGAATATAAATCTTTCTATTATAAAGGCACATGCATGTATATGTTCATTGCAGCATATTCACAATAGCAAAGACATGGAATCAACCTAAATGCCCATCAATGATAGACTAGATAAATAAAATGTGGTACATATACACCATGGAATACTATGCAGCCATAAAGAAACAAAATCATGTCCTTTGCAGAGACATGGATGAAGCTGAAAGTCATTATCCCTAGCAAACTAATGGGGGAACAGAAAACCGAATACTGTTTGTCCTCACTTATAAATAGGAGCTAAATTATGAGAACACATGAATTCATAAAGGAAAACAACACACACTGGGGCCTATCAGAGGGTGGAGGGTGGGAAGAGGGAGAGGATCAGGAAAAATAACTAATAAGTACTAGGCTTAATAACTGTTTGACAAAATAATCTGTACAACAAACCTCCATGAAACAGTTTACCTATGTAACAAAACTGCACATGTACCCCGAACTTAAAATAATAGTTAAGAAAAGAAAACAAACAAACAAAAAGCAAATTAAAAATAAAAGCTATGGTTGAATCAATGATGACATTGAGGAATAAAACAAGCATTAGGATCATGACATTAGCACAAAGCCATTCATGAGGGATCTGCCCCCATGGTCTAAACATCTCCCATTAGGCCCTGCCTCCAACATTGGGGATCAAATTTCAACATGAGATTTGGAGTGGACAAATATCCAAACTGTGGATGGGAATGCATGTGGAAGAAATACTTAATACAATTGCATTTAAAAAGTAGAGAGGGTAAAATATGCTAATGGTAATAGAGATACGGACTGTATCCTTCACTCAAAGTGGTAAAACATCAATACCAGTAGACTGTGATAAGTTATATGTATATATTGTAATAAGTACAACCACCACCAAGAAAGCTATATGAAGCAATGTACTAAAAAGGATTAAAAAGTATGAGTGTAGATACAAAAGTTCTTCCTGAGAACTTCAAATAAGATAGATATGCATATGGTGAGTAGGGCTGAAGTCTTGACTTCTATGCCTGAAAGTAGGCATTATTGGCTGGGAATTTAATTCCTAAGTGGGAAAGAAACCAAAAGTGCTCTATGGAGGAAAGAGAGCCAAATTTTGACTTTCTGCTTCTGGCTAGGAGCTGAGGTTGGGCTCCCCATGATTTTAAAGGAGGTTGAGGAGAATGTTTTCAAACACTTGTATGCTATAGATATAAGGAAGTGAGAAGACACAGAATAACTTTCTCAAAAGGAACTGAAGCAAATAAAAAACAACTGTCCTGAGAAGATTGTTATTGTTCCAGATATTACAACAGGACAATAAATCTGAATGATCACTGAAGAACTGGGATTTTGATTGGAAGCCTGATGGGCTGAGGTGGAGTGGCTAAATAAAACCTCTGGACAGGGACAGTGGAGTACAGAAAAGAAGAGGAGGGAGGAGAGTAAAAGAGATGGGCAATGCTATGGTTTGAATGTTTATTTTCTCTGAAACTCATATTGAAACTTAATCCCCATAGTAATAGTATTAAGAGGGCTGTAAATCCAACTATGGTATTTGAGAGGTGGCACCTTTGGGAAGTAATTAGGATTAGATGAGGTCTTGAGGGTGGGGCATTGAGAGGAGAAACAGAGACCTTGAGCCATACCCCTTTGCCCTCTTGTCACATGATGCTCTGCACCTCATCAGAACTCGGCAGAAGGCCCACCAATAAGAAGACTCTCACCAGATGCTGGCACCATGCTCTGGGACTTCTCATCCTCCAGAACCATAAGAGATAAATTTTGTTTCTTCATAAATTACCCAATTTTTGGCATTCTGTTACAAGCAACAAGAAACAGACTAAGGCAGAAAATTGGTACTAAAAAGTTGGGCTGTTGCTAATAACAAATATCTGAAAATGTGGAAGCAGCTGTGGAACTGGGTAATGGGTAGAGGTTAAAAGAACTCAAAAAGGCAGGCGAGAAAAAGCCTGTATTGCCTTAAATGTCAATTCTGGTGATAAAGGGTGATTTTGGTGAGGGCTTAGAAGAAGTCAAGAAGACTAGGAAAAGTCTGGAACTCCTTTGTGATGATTTGAGTGGTCAGGACCAGAATGTCAATAGAAATATGGACAGTAAGGGCTGTTCTGCTGAGGTCTCAGGTCTGAGGAACAAGGAATTGGAAACTGAAGTAAAGGCCATCCTTGTTATAAATGCGTGAAAAACTTGGTTCTGAATTGTGTCTATATCTGATGGTTTTATTAGGCTATATGGCAGAAGAAATATCTAAGCAGCAAAGCAGTCAGGCAGCTGCATGGCTACTTTTAACTGCTTACATTAAAGCTGTGAGAGGTAAAAAATAACTTAAAGGTGGAATTTATAATTAAAAGGGAAGCTAAGTGGAAAGATTAGGAAATTTTGCAGCCTGGCCCTGAAAGAGCATTTTCAACAGAGGAAACCAAGGGTGTGTCTGAAGGAATGATTGATAAGGAGGGACTGATTGATAAGGAGAATTGTATGAATAGAATAAAGCCAGAAGCTATTCATCAAGACAATGGGAGACAAACACTGAATGCACTTTAGAGATCTTCAAGTCTACCCCTGCCATCACAGGCCCAGAGCTCTAGGAGGAAAGAATGGTTTCAGGAGACAGGCCTGGGGTGTCCTCCATGGGCTTGCTGCCCAATGCCACCTCAGGACAGTGCTTCCCTCATCCTGGTTGCTCCAGCCATAGCTCAAGTGGCCCTAGATGTGACTCATATTGTAGCTGCAGAGGGCACAAGCAGTAAGCCTTGGCAATGTCCACATGCATGTGGTGCTATTTCTGCAGGTCTTCAGGATGCAAGACTAGTGGGAAGGCATAGAAATCTCCACCTAGATTTCAAAGGATGTATCAGACTGCCTGGGAACCCAGGGAGAAAACTGCCACAGGGGCAGGGCCACCACTGTGGGGAAAAGCAAGAGGGATCAGATTGTTACTGTGTCTGTGTAGAAAGAAGTAGACATAGGAGACTCCATTTTGTTCTGTACTAAGAAAAATTCTTCTGCCTTGAGTGCTGTTAATCTATGACCTTACCCCCAACCCCGTGCTCTCTGAAACATGTGCTGTGTCGAACTCAGGGTTAAATGGATTAAGGGTTGTGCAAGATGTGCTTTGTTAAACGGATGCTTGAAGGCAGCATGTTCCTTAAGAGTCATCACCACTCCCTAATCTCAAGTACCCAGGGACACAAACACTGTGGAAGGCCGCAGGGACCTCTGCCTAGGAAAGCCAGATATTGTCCAAGGTTTCTCCCCATGGGATAGTCTGAAATATGGCCTTGTGGGAAGGGAAAGACCTGACCATCCCCCAGCCCGACACCCGTAAAGGGTCTGTGCTGAGGAGGATTAGTATAAGAGGAAGGCATGCCTCTTGCAGTTGAGACAAGGGGAAGGCATCTGTCTCCTGCCCGTCCCTGGGCAATGGAATGTCTTGGTATAAAACCCGATTGTAAGTTCCATCTACTGAGATAGGGAAAAACCGCCTTAAGACTGGAGGTGAGACATGCAGGCAGCAATACTGCTTTGTAAAGCATTGAGATGTTTATATGTATGCATATCTAGAGCACAGCACTTGATTCTTTACCTTGTCTATGATGCAAAGACCTTTGTTCACGTGTTTGTCTGCTGACCCTCTCCCCACTATTGTCTTGTGACCCTGACACATCCCCCTCTGAGAAACACCCACGAATGATCAATAAATACGAAGGGAACTCAGAAGCCGGCGGGATCCTCCATATGCTGAACGCTGGTCCCCTGGGTCCCCTTATTTCTTTCTCTGTACTTTGTCTCTGTGTCTTTTTCTTTTCCAAGTCTCTCGTTCCACCTAACGAGAAACACCCACAGGTGTGGAGGGGCGACCCACCCCTTCAACCACCAAGAGCCTCTGCTAGGGCAATGCTGAGAGGAACTGTGGGGTTGGAACTGCTACAGGGAGTCCTCCCCAGGGAAATATCTAGTGGTGCTGTGACAGTGGGACTGCCACCAAGACTCCAAAACTGTAGAGCTACCAGCATGCAGTCCCAGCTTCGAAAACCCAAGGCACCTGACTCCAACCCATGAGAACAGCCATATTGGGCTGCAACCAGCAAAGCCATGAGGGCAGGGTTGCCTGAGGTCTTGGGGGCCCAACTTCTGCCCCTGTGTGCTCAGGATGAGGAACATGGAGTCAAAAGACATTATTTCCAGCTTTAAAATTTAATGTCTTTCCCTGTTGAGTTTCAGACTTCCTTGAGGCCTGTTACTTCTTTCTTCTGGCCCATTTCTCCTGTCCCAGCATTGTATCTTGGAGGTAGATAATTGGCTTTAGTATCTCAGGCTCACAGATAAGGACTTTGGACTTTTGGACTTTTGAGTTGGTACTAGAGAAAGTTAAGACTTTGGGGCTCTGGGGATAAAATGAATGTATTTGAATGTGAGAAGAATATGAGTTTTGAGGCTGCAGGGGTGAAATGCTATGGTTTGAAAGTTTGCTCCTCTAAATCTTATGTAGAAACTTAATCCCTATTGTAACAGTATAAAAGGGTAAGAAAACAGACCATGATATTTTAGGGGTGGGACATGTGAGAAGTAATTAGTATTAGATGAGGTCATGAGGATGGGGTGATGGGGCACTAAGGGTTTGATAAGAGGAGAAAGAGATACTTGAGGTAGCCCTCTCAGCCTGCTTGCTATGTGATGCCTTGCACCACAATGGGACTCTGCAGAGGGTCCCCACTAGCAAGGAGGCTCTCACCAGATGCTGGCACCATGCTCTTGGACTTCCCAGCCTCCAGAAATAAATTTTGATTCTTTATAAATTACCCAGTTTCAGGTATTCTATTGCAATCATCAGGAAATTAATTAAGACAGCAAAATCGACATGTAGAATACAAAATAATCGCAGCACTTTGGGAGGCCGAGGCAGGCGGATTACCTGAGTTCAGGAGTTTGAGACCAGCCTGGCCAACATGGGGAAACCCTGTCTCTACTAAAAATACAAAAATCAGCCGGGTGTGGTGGCACATGCCTGTAATCCCAGCTACTCAGGAGACTGAGGCAGGAGAATCCCTTCAACCCAGGAGATGGAAGTTGCAGAGTGAGCCAAGATTGTGCCACTGCACTCCAGCCTGGGCAATGGAGTGAGACTCTGTCTCAAAAAAAAAAAAAGAATATACAGTAATTGGAGATGAAATTAATTTAAGTGTTCTGGTATATACTATGTAAGTATATGAAGTATAAATAAGTAGAGTGCAGATGACACCAATAATAATGACTTCATTGTTATTCTGTCTCGGTGAAGAAGGAGTCCTGTAGGTATGATTAATTATTCTCTTAGGTGTGTCTTCTCAATGCCAGCAAAGCTAGGTGTGGGTGAAAAAAATACCAACTAGTCTTTTTTGTTAAGTGACTATGAATATCATCAGATCCCTGTGCTTCCCTGTCTCTATCCCCAGGGATTCAATGACATTTATACACTTGGTTCCCAGGTGAGATTTTAATTAATAAACTAATCTCATGACTGTTAGCAATTATAATTAGATATTCTGTCAAGTTCCTAATTCTCACATCTTCAAGTCCTGTAATTTGGCATGAAGGCACTGCGAATTTGGACTTTGAGCTAACAAGATTTAGACAGGATATTGGCCTTGATCTGAGGCTGTAATGGAATGAGACTTTGGGGGGTCCTTGAGAAGGGATTAATGTATTTTACATTTGAGAGGGACATGAATTACAGGTGGCCAGAGGGCTGAAGAGGTGAGAAGGAAAGCAGAATTCTAAGATGGCCCCCAGGAATATCTATCACCCCCTGTTGTACATACCTTATAAAATTCCTTTCCTTTAAATGTGGGTGGAACCTACCGAGACCAGCTTTGTCAGGGAGACCCTAACCCAGCAGCGCTAGAGGAATTAAAGACACACACACAGAAATATAGAGGTGTGAAGTGGGAAATCAGGGATCTCACAGCCTTCAGAGCTGAGAGCCCTGAACAGAGATTTACTCACATATTTATTAATAGCAAACCAGTCATTAGCATTGTTTCTATAGATATTAAATTAACTAAAAGTATTCCTATGGGAAATGAAGGGATGGGCTGAATTAATTGCAGCCGGAACACGCCCTTAAGACATAGATTGCTCATGCTTTTGTTTGTGGCTTAAGAATGCCTTTAAGTGGTTTTCTGCCCTGGGCAGGCCAGGTGTTCCTTGCCCTCATTCCCGTAAACCCACAACCTTCCAGCTTGGGTGTTAGGGCCATTATGGACATGTTATAGTGCTGCAGAGATTTTATTTATGGCCCAGTTTATAGCCATAAACTGGGCCATAAATTTGGGGCCATAAATTTGGGGCCAGTTTATGGCCAGATTTTGGGGGGCTTGCTCCCAATAGTAACCAGTAAATTTAATGGTATGATCACTACTGTGATTGGGTTATGTTTTGACTGCAATTAGTCTTATGAAAAGGAAATTATTGTAGGTGAGCATGAACTAATTAGGTGAGCCCTTGAAAGGGACTGAACTTTTCTTGAAGAGAGAGATTAAACATGAGAAAGACTCCCTATTACTGACTTTGAAGACGTAGAGGGCCATGTGGCAAGGAACTGAGAGTGGTCACTGGGAGCTGATACTGATCCCTGGCTGATAGCCAGCTTGAAAACATGGACCTCAGTCATACGTGGAAATAAATTCTGTCAACAGGCAGTGAGCTTGGAAGAGGACTCCATATTCAAATGAGAATTATAAGGTCAGCGTGTGACTTCAGTCTTGTGAGATCCTAAGCAGAGAGCCCAGTTGAGCTTTGCCTAGACTTCTGACCTAGAAAACTGAGATAATAAATGGGTGTTGTTTTAAGCTGCAAAGTTTCTACTAATTTGTTATGACAGTGGCTAGAAAATTAATACAATATGCTTTGTTTATTTAAATTTTACATACTGCACCATAAGCACCTTTGACATAAACAGAATGCTTAAAATTGATATACCTTTCACATATTAATTCTTTACTTTTTCTTAGTATAGTCTAAGAATACTTTCCTGTACGGTTTCTTTCTTTGTTTTGTTATTTAAACTCATCTCACCACTTTTTAATAAAATAAATATTTACTTTTTTTTTCTATATTTTTGTTGATGGCTTTCATGAAACTTCGGTTCTTGTCTTCTTAGTTTAAAAGAATTTAAACGAGACACACAGCAAAGGAGATACAACATAGAGCAATTTATTGCAAAGGAGAAAGGATACTCTGAAAGTTAGGTGCAGAATCAACAGTACACCCCAAGAGACAATTCAGGGCAGGTTGCTTGTGCGGGTGAGACAGTGTTGAATGTTACTGGGGAAACTCCCTTTATGGGAGTCTTACATGATTATTCATAAGGGGGTGGGAAGATGTGTTACTAGCAAGCATGTTCTGGGTGGTTCCTCCTCAGTTCTGAGTTCCTTCTCATTTAAACTTTTAATCTGCCTCAGTATAATCTCTGTATGTGTGTATGTATGGGCTCTTTTTACTATCCCACTAACTCACTAATTGACCCAACACTATTTTTAGTAATTTTTCCTATTCCACTGGATTAAAAGTTTGCTTTATTATGCACTACATTCTTAATTTATCCAACATAAATGCAGGATAACTTGTTCTATCCTTGAAAGCAGTCCCAGTATGATGTTCTTTAGAGAGGCCAGAGCAAATTTCCCCGTACTCCATTTCAAATACTTCAAATTATATTGCAACCTCTTGAAAAATATCAAATTAGGATTGTATTTCTAACACCAAGAAAAATGATTTAAAATTCTTTTAAAATAGCTTCTTGTCCTAAAAATCTCACCATAATTTCCTTATCACTATGCTGCTTTCTCTTTCGTTCCATATTGGTGTCATGACAATCAGGTATATTTCAAAAAACTTGTTTCTGGACCCCTTACATCCCACTGAGTTCCATTCCTCATTAGCTACAGCCCATTACCCTACAAATTTGGATAGACTCCAGAAGAGTAGAGTGGGCCCTTATGTACCTTGAAGAAGTGAAGAATATAACCTGTAACATTGAAGGCTTCTTAGAAATATGTTTGTCTCCCATCCCAAAATTTTCTCAAAGGGTTTGCGACTTCCTAGAAATGTAATACAGTGGTCCTCCCTTATCGATGGTTTCACTTTCCACAGTTTCAGTTACTGGTGGTCAATCAATCACAGTGTGAAAATATAGGTGTTTAGTACAATAAGATATTTTGAGAAGAGGGGAGAGAGAAAGAGACAGAGAAAGAGAGAGAGAGATCTCATTTACATAACTTTTATTACAGTATATTGTTATAATTGTTCTATTTTATTATTAGTTATTGTTGTTAACCTATGACTGCACAATTTGTAAATTAAACTATATCATATGTTTGTATGTGTAGAAAAACATAGCATATACAGAGTTTGGTACATGCCTTCAGGCATCCTTTGGGGTGCCTTGCAACATATCTCCCATGGATAAGAGGGGGCTATTGTAAACAAAATTTTCAATTTCATTAATTGTGGCATAAATTAGGTTCTGTTTATGTGCAGCCAATATCATTCCACAGTTGTCCTTTTTTTGGGGCACTATGAACATGTTTTAATTGTTTAGCTTTATAATCATTTGTAAACATCTATTAGAGTACCTCTCCTTATTTTTATCAATAGTTGTTTTTGTATACCGCTCTTGAAAGTTAGAAACATTTTGTTAATAAAACTGTCTTATTACTATTTAGATTAAAGCATCACCAAGTCCATGTATTTTGTCTGGAAAAGTGACACAAATTGCCCTGTCCAAGAAAGTGGTATCATTGTTTACTAAACTTCTTTCTGTCCTTAAGTAAATTTCTATTCTTTTCTGTGGATTGCACACATGACTGCTTTGATATTTTGTATATTTATTGCTCTTTTCAATAATTTTTTTTCTGGAATGGATTCATTGACCTAATCTGCCAGAGAGAATTAATGAGGCCCCACATCTTCTCATTAGTTGGAGAGGAAAGTATTTAATGGTTTAACTTGAACGTGACTTTTGTGAATCTTTTTTTTTTTTTTTTAAAGCAGAATCCTGTATTTGGTTACATTGTGGTCTAGTGACCACTTCCTTCAGGTAAAGCAAGCTTCCCTGTCTGGAACAGCCAGGCATGTGATAAAAAATTTCCTTTGTGGTCACTTAGTTATTATTCCTCTTGTCTTGAGTGTCTGGGCTGCTATTTTCATGTATTTACATCCAAATGAAGTCTTTCTTTCCAACTTTTTATAGTATGTTTTGATTCACAAAATATTTTAGCCTTATCTACAATATAATAATTTCCCACAAATGCAAAGAATATAGGTTTGTACAGCTTTGAAGTAATATTGGCAAAAGAGTATGAAGCAGAGTGCCCATATTTAAATATAACTTTCAACATGTTAGTCTTTCTATAGGTGTTTTCAGGATAATAAAAATTAATTTGATTGATATAGACTTGGGGGCAATATATGAGAAACAGGCTCTGCTCTAAAGGATAGGATGAGAGGTGGGCAGGGAGGATTTGTATGGTTTGAATTCCAGGCACACACGCTAACTGCTAATTTGGCATCATCCACCAGGTTGAATATTTTCATGAAATTCTGTCTTACATCTCTGCTAATCCTAAAACAAAGAATGAGGATCATTTCAGGTGAGTCTAAGTCAGGAGAAACTATTAAAATTGTTATATTCTTCATTTAATTTTTTTCTATGATTATTTTTTCTTCTTTTTATACTAATTAGAATAGGCCAAACTGCTGCAACAAATAGACTAAAAAGTGTATTGTGGCTGAAATATAGTAGAAGTTTATAACTCACTAATGTAGCAGAAGGAGGATATTGAAGATTTGTGAGTCACTTTTCTCCAGGTGGTGATTCAGAATTCCAAGCTCCCATAGTCCAATATGGTGCCTTTCATTTTTTTTCCTGAGAAAATTAACACATTTTAATTTTTCCTCAAGAAGGGAGGTACAAGAGTGATCAATTGTGATCTAGAAGATTAAGGCAAGAAAGTTAGTGAAATTTGCTACAGTGTCTACTATTATAGTTGTCATTATGACTGTAACTAATATTTGTTTCCCTCCTTCACAAGCCATTCTTGATTCCCCTCATCCTCTGAATTTAGTCTAGTTTGTTTTTCTGTTTTGGTGACAGAGACAACTATTCCAGAAGGGTCTATGTTACTATTTACTCTGTTCTTGAATTATGATTGTTTTAGTGTCTACTGACAGACATGACCATGCATAGAAGCACTAAAAGACTATTGTATTTTCATCTGGGATAGTAGTCTCTGTCACTAAACCAGAAGAACAACCTAGTTTTTAGACCTGTTCAAGCTTGGTTCCAAAGGAACCACTTCTGCTGCAGATGGATTGTGGTTGGTATCCCCAAACTTACGACTCCATGGATTTATAGCTCTTCGCATCATATGGACAATTTAAGGCACATGGTCAGTGTGCTAAGTGCCTATCAGGAAGAAATGAACACTTGGTCATAGTTTTAGAACTATGAAAGGAAATTAAATCTTGGGACTCCAACTCATTAAGCCTAAGGGAAAAGTTAATCTGGGATCGGGGTTGCGAAAACCCGCCTCCCCCTTTTTGGTTCCTAAATAAGATGGCTACAAAATGAAAAGCTACATGCCTCCCTCATATTTTGTCCACAAGGAAAGTCCTTGTGAGCTGCAAGATCTTTACTCTAAGGTGTTTCTGTTAAAATTTTACCATGGCAATGTAAATTGGTAGCTTATCTTTACAGGTGTAGTCACGCCCCTGCCCAGAAGACACAAATGCATATCTTTTTTTTCTTTCTTTTTTTTTTTTCAGACGGAGTCTCGCTTTGTCATGCTGGCTGGAGTGCAGTGGCGCGATCTTGGCTCACTGCAACCTCCACCTCCCGGGTTCAAGTGATTCTCCTGCCTCAGCCTCCCAAGTAGCTGAGATTACAGGCATCTGCCACCATGCCTGGCTAATTTTTTTTTTTTGTACTTTTAGTAGAGACAGGGTTTCACCATGTTGGCCAGGCCTGTTTCAAACTCCTGACCCCAAGTGATCTGCCTGCCTCAGCATCCCCAAATGCTAGGATTACAGGCATGAGCCACCGCGCCCGGCCACAAACGCATATCTAATTGTTCCCCTTCCCCCGTTTTGTCTATGTCATCTTATGTAAAAAAAATGCAGATTAACTGAGCCAGACAAAGGCATGAATGACTATTTTTCCTTACCCTCCTCTTACATGAAAATTGTGTACTTCTCAATATCCCTATCCTTTCCCCTTAAATTTAGAGCCCTCAAAATTATCTTCGGAGAAAGGTATAGACCTGTCTCCTGGGTGCTTATTCTTAACTTTGGCAAATAAACCTCTTAAAATGATTGAGACTTGCCATTTTTCTCGATTGACAGAACACATGAGTTCATGCAAAGTTACTGTTGGAGAAGTTTTCCTGTGGTTGTTTTTTGGAACATGTAATATGAATGAAGTGATCAAGAGTTTGAGCTGTGACTTACACTTTAGGCTATAATAGAGTAATTGGTGCGGTTAAGACTTCATCTCTCCTGGGCAGCTTTCTTGAGCTTTAGGAGACTGACTCACAATGGAGCTGAGGCTTCTTCTGTCCCTTGCTACTGATTTGTAAGTAATAAAACTGCTTCACATAATTTGTGTGTGAGTGTGTTCTGTTTCACCAGACTCAGATAAACAGGTAGCCAGTGCATGGTGGACATAAACAGTAGCTCAGAATGCAGTGGGAAGAAGTATCTGGACCTCTTTTCCTGGTGGTTGGCATAGTGATGATCTTTTCTATTCTCCATGCAGTGGAAGTCCTCCCTTTCCTCCCTTGGTATTGGTAATTAGTAAACCTGCTTCATAAACTGTGATTAACATACTAAAATCTCTAATGGAAAAGGTAGACAACATGCAAGATTAGACAGTTTCAGCAGAGATATGAAAGCTTTAAGGATGAATGAAATGGAAATAAAATAAAAATAAATTAACAAAAATAAAGAATGCATTTGACAAGCTCATCAGCAAATGTGGTACAGCCCTGGGAAGAATCAGTGAGTTTGAAATAGATCAATAAAAATTACCCAGAGTGAAACACAAAGAGAGAAAGAGAGTAAAAGTACATTAAAAAAATAAGCCTGGCACAATGTTTCACATCTGTAATCTCAGCACTTTGGGAGGCTGAGGTGGGAGGAATGCTTGAACCTAAAGAGCAGCCTGGGCAACATAAGGAGATCTTGTCTACAAAAAGAGAAAAATTAAGTGGGCAAGCATGGTGCTGGTATTCCCAGCTACTCAAGAGGCTAAGACGGGAGGACTGCCTGAGTTGGGGGCGAGGGTGGGGGATGCAGTGAGCTGTGATCGCACCACTGCATTCCAGCCTGGGCAACAGAGTGACACCCTGTCTCAAAACAAACAAACAAACAAACAAACAAACAAACAAACAAACAAAGGTGATGTAACCATTCAATACAGCACTGCAGCTCTTGGATGCTCTGTTTTGTTTTTCCCCTGCTCTTCTTTTCTCTTTGTATTTCACATTGGGTAATTTTTATTAGGTATCTTATGGAATTAGTTTGTTAAAAGATAAACACATTATTTTGGTTGGCTTTGCTTTTTTAACATTATATTTTGAAATAATTGTAGTTTCAAAGGGAGTTACCAAGATAGAACAAAAAGATTCTGTATAGCCTTCATCCAGTTTTCCCCAATTGTAACATCTTACATAACTAAAGTGCAATATCAAAACCAGGAAATTATCCTGACATATATGGTCAAACGATTTTCAACAGGAGTGCCAGGCCATTAAATGCAGAAAGGACAGCCTTTTCAACAATGGTGCTGGGAAAACTGGAAGTCCACATACAAAAGAATGAAACTGGACTCTTACCCTACATTATAGACAAAATGAACTCAAAATGAATCAAAGACCTAAATGTGAAAACTAAAACCATAAAACTCTTAAAAAAATAGGGAAAATCTTCATGATATTTGATTAGGCAATGATTTCTTGGATATAACACCAAGGGCATAGGCAAGAAATGAAAAAAATATATATAAATTGGACTCCATCAAAATTTACAACTTCTAATTGAGGCATGGAAAACTAAATACCATATGTTCTGATTTGTAAGTAGGAGCTAAGTGGGTACTAAGCTATGGGTACTCAAAGGCATACAGAATGGTATAAAGGACAATGGAGAGTAAGAAAGTGGGGAGGATGGGAAGGAGGGTGAAGGATAAAAAACTACATATTGAGTACAATGCACACTACTCAGGTAACAGGTTCACTAAAATTCCAGGCTTCACCACTATACAATTCATCCATATAACAAAAAACCACTTGTAACCTAAAAGCTATTGAATTAAAATTATATTAAAAATTAAAAAAAATTATTATTGAGCATCTACTATGTGTTCAAAACTATTTTAGATGCTATATATTTGCCACTTCATTTAATCCTTGGCATTACTCTATGGAATAGATAATATCCTCATTTTGCAGTTAAAGAAACTCATACTCAGAGAGATTAACTTGGATTTATGAGCAATGTTGACATTATAAAGTAGAGGCAGGAAGACCAGTTAGGATGCTTTTGCAGTAATTAACTTGAGTGGAATTGTCGGTCTGTGAGAATAGAAAGTGAATCTTTTGGGAAGATTCTACAATGTTATTGTTTTTGCATAAGTGACTTTTTCCTCTACTCCCTCTTTTCACATGTAAAATGTAGATTTACTGAGACTAATCAGACTCACAAGAATGTAACCACTTGTGTCATTGCCTACCTTCCCTCCTTTTTTTTTTTTCCTCTCTCTTTCCCTTCCTGCTTACTCTTTCTTTTTAAACATTGAAGTTCTCAAAACCCTCTTTGGAATAAGCATGGATCATAGATGCTCCTGTGATTTGTGTTTTTCCCAGGTGCATCCTGAACCTTGGCAAAATAAACCTCTAATTGATTGAGACCTGCCTCAGTCACTTTTCGGCTTACACCAGGATTTCTTTCTTTTTAAAGCCTGAATAGAATTCCATTGTGTATACATACATTATCTTTACCCATTCATCTGCTGAATGACACAGGTTGATTTCATACCTTGACTGTTGTGCATAATGCTGCAATGAACATGGGAGTGTGGATATATTTTCAACCTACTGATTTAAAATCCTTTGTCTGTATCCTGGAAGTGGGATTGCTACATCATATGGCAGTTCTATTTTAACTTTTTGAAGAACCTTCATCATGTTTTCCCTAGTGGCCATACTAATTTACATTCCCACCAACAGTGTGCAAATGTTCCCTTATCTCCACGTCCTTGTTAACACTTGTTACTTTTTGTCTTTTTGATAATAGTCATCCTGAAAAGCATGGATTGATATGTCATTGAGGTTTAAATTGAATATCTTAAGTTTCCTTATTTGAGGATATGAGTAGTCCCCCCAAAATATTACTACTAATGTTGCTTTTTTGCATGAACCATGACCTTGAGCTGAGCTGGACACTTGAATTCTTGAGTACTTGGACATGAGCTTAAATAGGACTGAAATATTTTTTACATACCTGAATATTAGTTCTTCTCTCTACTGGTAAGAACTTGTAGAAGAAGACATTATAAAGATCTCATAGAAAGATATTTAAGGTTTGTCTGGGAATGAAGGCACATGATGACTACAAATCTAGAAGCTGGGGAAGAGTTGTCTCTGGAAATATCCCAGGCATTACTAGGGAACCAGAAGTAGAGACGAACAGATATGTTGCAAAGAGTGACATGTGTAGGTTAGCTCTGGGTGATGAAATCGTCAGTGGTCCAGCTGAGGTGATGCATGGATGAGATTGACTGGAAGAAGAAACCTGTAGAAACAGATCAGGAAACAAAGCTCCGTTGTACACACGTCCATAGCAGGCAGCCTGGGTTTTCATCCCAGTCTTCTTCTGTTTTCAAGGGCCATTTCCATACTGCATGAGAAGCCATGAGACTGGTGGGCTCTGGACTCCTGTGCCAGAGATCACTCACCTTCCCCATTTCCCCCAAGTGTCCCAAATGCCTTGTATCATCTGATTTTCTATCTTCCTGCTAAAGCTTTTCCCATACTCCTAGTCCTTCACCCTGCGGTATCCTCCAAGTCCTTACCTGACTTCCACTATGGAGTCTCCCCATGGTTACTTGCTTGAAGGAGGCACTGTTTGAGCACAGCCTCTGAATGCTACAGACTCTCTCTTCAGATTTTCTAAATTGTCATTTTAAAGAGATAACTGTTTAAAGAGAAAAGGCCTACCTTATATGTGTCATGAAAAATTCATGTAACCGGTTACCTAAAAGTTGATATAAGAGAAATATGTAAGTAGCTTCACAAGGTTTTGAAAAATTTGGAGATAATTACTTGATAAATTTTTATTAAAGGAAAATGATATTCTGGGGCTGTATTTCTGTTACCACTGGCATTAAGGAGGCCACAGAACCTTTCTGACTCTACAGTGTTTCTTGATTCTGGAAGTAATTGCAGGACAGAGTCCTGGATAACCCTTCTGGTGACAGGATGACTCCTGTGTTTACATTCAACTGCACTGACCAAGCACAGATTCTAAGAGATGCTGACCAGGGAAGATGATTTCTCCCTTGATTCCACAAAGAAGGAGTCCACAACCTTTTTCTGCCCTGAAAGAAGAGACAATGTGCCCTGGGGAGTCTCCCTAGTGTAACCTTGACCCGTAATAACAGCAGTGTCTTTATCCCATCTTCCCACATGGGGTGTGTGTGGTCTCATCCTAAGCGCTCTGTCCCCATCAGAGGCCGGGCAGGTGATTTGGGTGAGGCATTCAGAATCAGGATGCTTGTCTGAGTTGCCTTCCTCTGGCCAGGCCAATAGTGGCTGCCCTGAGTAATGGAGCAGGGATAGGAACATTGCAAAGAACTGTAGAGAAGGCTGGATCAGGGGGACACAACTGGCAGAAGCCCCAAACCAAAGCCTTTTAGATTAGGTGTTTTTTTTTTGTTGTTGTTTTGTTTTGAGACAGAGTTTTGCTCTTGTCCCCCAGGCTGGAGTGCAATGGAGTGCAATGGTGCGAACTCAGCTCACTGCAACCTCTGCCTCCTGGGTTCAAGCGATTCGCCTGCCTCAGCCTACTGAGTAATTGAGATTACAGGCATGCACCACCACACTCGGCTAATTTTTTTTATTTTTGGTAGAGACGGGTTTCACCATGTTGGCCAGGCTGGTCTCAAATTCCTGACCTCAAGTGATCTGCCTGCCTTGGCCTCCTGAAGCGCTAGAAAATTACAGGGGTGAGCCACTGCGCCTGGCCTCAGATGAGGTTTTAGCCAGTCAGAAAATGGCTCTAAGCTGACACTTTCGTTGCTAGTTGAAAAGTCTGTGTGGCCAGGTGTGGTGGCTCACACCTATAATCCCAGTGCTTTGGGAGGCCGAGGTGGGAGGATTGCTTGAGGCCAGGACATTGAAACCAACCTGGGCAACATAGCAAAACCCTATTTCTATAAAAATTTTTTTAAAAATTAGACAGAATGGCGGTGTGTGCCTGTACTCCCAGCTACTTGGGAGGCTCAGACAGGAGGATCACTTGAGCCTAAGAGGTTGAGGCTGCAGTGTGCCATGATCATGCCAGTGTACTCCAGCCTAGGTGATAGAGCCAGACCCTGTCCCTAAAAAAGAAAAGAAAAGAAAAAAGGAAAATAAAAAAAAAGGAAAAGAAGAAAAAAGTCTGTTTGAAGAGGCCCATGAGACTGGGGAGTCCCTAGGTTTGACGTAGACTTTGCCTCACAGCCCCAGAATAAACCTGAGGGAAGTTTCTCCCTTTGAACAGGAAGAAGGGGTGGGCCAGAGGCCTCTATTCTGAGGGACGCTGAGGTGGGGACTGAGAGGACATTGAGGGCATCTTCAGGTCCCTCTCTGCCTATTCTTTCTTGCCCCCAGTTCCGTTCTAGGTCTGAGTTTGATGTTCCTCCTTTATGCTTCCATCGCACCAGTGGAGACCCTCCTTAGACTGGGGGTTACCCTGATCCTGAGTACACCACTGCTGCTAGAAGCCCAGTAACAACGTTCCCAGACTCAGGTGATCTAAATCTATGCACAGAATAATACAGAATATTAGAGTGGCTCAATGCTTTCATGTGCCACTATTGCAAACCTCTTGCTACCGTCTCTTCCCTGTTTCTTTTTACCTGGTAAACATATTCTGCTTTTAGATGCTCTCTATCTTCTACTTTACTAATATACAGGGAAGAGTGGGAGGAAGGGAGACAAGAAGAGAGGTGGAGATATTTATTGTCTTGGTTAGGATTACCAGTAATGTTTGTCAGGCATTGTTTTAATTGCTTTATAACCATTAGTACTATCCCTAGCCATGGGCAACGTAAGCCTGATAAGTAAGAAATTTATTTATAAAAACACATTGGTACCTCTGCCATTTTGGATTTGATGTTTAGGGCTGGCCCAATATGACCTGTAACTCTAAACATTTGCTCCATCATTAATACGATTCAGCCCCCAGGAAATTCTTCTTCACAGCTTTTGTTCTCTATCTTCAAAACTAAATGTGACTGTGTCTGAATACTGTAAAATTTGTGTATTGTGCCTTTGCTCATATCAGATGCACCTGTTTCATGGTTCAGGGAGGATTTAAGCAGCTGAAGAACTTACAAGAGAAAAGTCAACAAATACTTTCACTCGAAGAGCATGAATGCAATACCTTCTTGCATAATAAAGAATCACTTGCCAGTAGGGCTGGGTGTCAACTTTTTTTTTTCTTGTTCCTCCTATTAGCTTGATAGTTACACATAACAGTGGAGGAGGCTTTTGTAATATTAAACTAGTCATATTAATGTTAAATTTGTATATGTGAAGATCTAGATGTAAAATGCATAAAACATGATCCACATTTTGCAAAGAGAAGCCTGGGGGTGAAAAGGAGTTCAGTAATTTGTTGACTCTCATAAAGCACATTAGTGGTAGAACTGCAACTCACCATCATTTCCTTCTAAGAACTTTGCTCTTCTCACCAAAACTTAAGGCTCCTCAGAGTGTCTAATAGAAGTGAACATTTCTGTGACAATTTTCTGTTCCCTGAAATATGATCCTCACTTAATTTGCCCTACTAAAACTCCCAAGTATAAGAACAATAGGTTGTAAGATGTCTACTCTTGAATCACATTTGTCTTTTGCTTCTTAAAACCCCTAAGCCATTCAATCTTCAGCTATTCAGAAATCTTCACCTCAAATGTTCATCTAGTGCAATTTGAAGAAGAAACAGTGCCAGGCATTGGAGTGAGAATCTTCACAGAAAAATGTCTGCCCAGAGGCAGATGAGGTCCTTCAGCTCCAGTGCTGATTGGTTCCTTTCCTAGGGACTCCCCAATCCTACCACACATGGAAACATCCAGAGGTTTTTATTCTTTCCGGCAGGTACATAAGATCCATTAGGTTTGAGCTGTGTTGACTACCACTGCTTTTTCCTTGGTCTCACTTATGTCTTGGAAGATGGCTCTGCAGATCCCTGGAGGCTTTTGGGCAGCAGCTGTGACCGTGATGCTGGTGATGCTGAGCACCCCAGTGGCTGAGGCCAGAGACTTTCCCAGTAAGTGCAGGGCAGCTGCTCTCGAGAGCCACCACTGTGGGAACAGGCTCTCCTTGGGTTGGAGTATGGGGGATGGTGATCTCCATGATCTCAGAACACAGTCTTTTATCACCATTTATTCTTTTTGGGAAATAGAGCTATGTTGCATTTTTATTTCCACCTTATAATGGGTGAGGTGAGGATAATCCAACCCCAATCCCACAGGTTTAATCCTGAAGGAGGAGAGAGGAAAGAGGAGACAAAGTGTGCATTCACTACCTGTGACAGGACAAAATGACCATGGCACTCCACGGTTATGCATTTCCCCAAAGATATGCATTTCCCCAAAGACACAGTAGGATTTTTCTGCACTGGGAAAATGTAAGGCAGCAATGGTGTCTGTAGTCTCTGTATTGGAGGTAAAGGAGTCTATACTACTGACTCGAGTGGAGAGTTTGTGGAGGCAAACTCTTAGTACTGAGGGAAGGTGACTGGATGACCACAGACAGGGAGTCTTACTTTGGGTTTCACTGATTTATGGGCAAAAGGTGACTTGAGTGGGATTCAGGGACCTGAGTTGATGGTGGACTGAATTTAGTATGATAGGAAGGAGGAAGTAAAGAAGGGAAATAATACATATTGAGAAACCACTCCATTCAGACACAGGACAGTACTTTCTATAAATCCTCTCTCACTCCTCCTAACATCCTATGTGTAGGTATCATGATTTTCCTTTTATGTAATTATACTTGTGATATGGATATTCTGTTAAGTAACCTGCCCAAGCTGGTGATTGACTCAGTTTAATTGGACCCTATAGAATTCAAAAGCTTGGGCTCTTTCCATGAATAAATGTTTCCTTCTAGGACTCCGGAGGTGTAGGTCCTTTCTAACACAGAAGTGAGTGAACCTCACAGGGCACTTGGGCGGGTATAGCAGAAAGAGAGTAAATCCAGGCATGGGTTTACTTGGTCTCTTGCCCAGGGACCAAGAGAATACTTACATCAGGATGAGAACAAGCTTAATTCCTGAACCTTTCTCGTTATTCCCTTGAACTCTCAAATTTATGTGGATAACTCTGTCTCTGAGATTCCCAAGAGCTCCATGGAAAATGGGATTTCATACGAGAACGCCCTGATCTAAGAGCAGAGGTCAATGTCGAATCGGTCCGACTGCCCTCTTCACTTGGTTCACAGGCTCAGGCAGGGACTGGGCTTTCCCTCTTACCTCCCTAAAGGAAGGCAGATTCCCGAGGCCCTCAGAGAGGGCGGGCAGGGCTGGGGCAGAGATGTCTCGAGGATCCCAGGTCCGGAGCACGAGGCACGGGCCCAGCCAAGAACTCAATTTCGCTTGGACGGGTTTCGCAGCTGCTGGCCGGGTCAGGGCAGCGGCTGAAGGGTGCGGTCCGGCTGGGGGCTGGGGCTAGGGCCGTGCTGGCGCCTGACTGACCCGCCGTGATTCTCCGCAGAGGATTTCTTGGTCCAGTTTAAGGGCATGTGCTACTTCACCAACGGGACAGAGCGCGTGCGGGGTGTGGCCAGATACATCTATAACCGCGAGGAGTACGGGCGCTTCGACAGCGACGTTGGGGAGTTCCAGGCGGTGACCGAGCTGGGGCGGAGCATCGAGGACTGGAACAACTATAAGGACTTCTTGGAGCAGGAGCGGGCCGCGGTGGACAAGGTGTGCAGACACAACTACGAGGCGGAGCTACGCACGACCTTGCAGCGGCAAGGTGAGCGTCGTCGTCCTTCCGCGGTGCTCACCCTTGGCCGGGGCCCGAGTCTCTGCGCACAGAGGGGCGAGGACGGCGCGGCCTCAAGGACCGAGCCCTGGTCCATCCCAGGGTACAGGAAGGTGGCGGGGATTTGGAGGCTGGGGTAGTATCGGAGGGGCGGGGATCTAGGGCAGAGCAGGGGGATGCACAAAAGCATCCCTTAGTTCCCTGCAGGGTTGGGTTAGGCTGCCCAGTGTGTCCCCAGCCTCCCCGTCCATCGGCCTTGTCCTCTGCTCTGCATGTTCTTGCCTTGTGCCTTATGCGTTTGCCTCCTCGTGCCTTACCTTCGCTAAGCAGTTCTTTCTGCCCGAATGCCCGCCCTCTTCCCCTGCCCGCCCGCCCCACTAGCACTGCCCCACCCAGCAAGGCCCACTTGCACAGCTCGCGCCGCAGGAAGCTTCAGGTTTGGCCTGGTGGAGTTAGGGCTGCTCCACAACTGCGCGCAGGGCATCCAGCAATTACAGTTGTGAAATAAGATATTTTAACTTTTGGCTTCAAATTATTATTCATCGTAATTCTGTTTTCTTAAACGGCTCTCATTCATGGCGGAGCTCTTTGAGGTGAGAGTGTTTTAATCATTGCATGCCTAGTACCTGACTCGTGGACTGGCATGTGGTATGAGCTCAATGATCTTCTGTTAAATTAATGAATAAATGTACTCAGCTGCCCATCCACTTAGGCTCAAGGGAAAGCAGAGGATAAATAGAGCCTTAAAGATGGACTTTATCAATTATTTTCTATTATTTTGCTTGATGCTTTAAACTCTTATTGACTTGGATCTTAGTAAGGTTTGTGAATGCAGTCTAGGGAAAAAGGTGTTTGCTGAAAATAAAAACAACTCTTGAATGGTGTTATAAGGCAGTTTTAATTTCTTAGAAAAGCTGAACAAATGGCACAATGAAAAGAGCAGAAGCTTTGGAATACATAGATTGAAGCCACTAAATTATTGAATAAAAATAGTTTCAGGTTGCTTTTGGAGTAGATTTTCTCCCTCCCCCCATCACTATCCACTTCAGGGATAAACATTCTGAACGTCAATTTTACCCACTTAGTGAGCACTTATTTCTAGACAATTGCCTTAGCAAACACCATCTAAGTTATGTCATTTAATAGCACAGTTACCTGTGCATTAGAGATTAGCATTGCCACTTTATATATCGTAATATTGGTACATGATAAACACTTTAAGTAATCAACCCACAATTATGCACCAGGACCTGAAGCCTCCCCCAAATACACAGCATTCTTTTATGTTCTTCAATACTCGTCTACACAGCCTAAGGGAAGTAAAGCCTTGTTAAAGCCAATTTTGACAAGAAGCAGCAATGGGTCTATTCCTGCCTGTTTTCACTGTTAATGGGACAAAATGATACTTTCAAGGCATTGAAAATTCACTGATTAATCAATCCCTAGTCTGACCCCAGTGTTATCTATGCAGGTTCACAAAACTTCCTTGCCTTCTTCTGACCCACATCCTAATGCTGTCAAGTATTTATATTTTTGCCATTTCAAGTCTATTTCTATAAAAGTTATTCTATCATTTTTTTCTCATGAATTTGTGCCCTCTATTTTTACTTTCAGTCTTTTTAAGATGAACAAATCTTGTAAGTCCCCACATAGCTGACTGTTATTTCAGTCAGACTCCAGGAAGGAGGGCCTAAAGAAAAGTTCAAGTCCAAGCAGAAACCAAGATTCCTTCCAGACAATGGCTCAAGAGTGCCATTTAATTGGGGTGCTACCTGCTGACCTCAGCAAATCCCAGCTATATGTATATGTTTGCATTACAGGCACATTCACCCAGGCCAACCTCTGCATGGATCTCAGAATATTTCCTATGGAGAACGTACATGATAATGTCTGATTTCAGAACAAGAAAGTAATTCTCAATAGCAAGGGGATGGAGTAGGGTAGGCAGCTAGTAATTACACTATCTTGAGGGTTAAAAGGAAATTAAGAAAAAGCAGGAAAATGAGAGAACATATTACCAAGTAAATAAAGCATACATTAAATATTTACTATAATTTTACACTAAAGAAATAAAGGAAATGCAGTAAAATGGCCAGAGAGGCAAAGGTTAAGATGTATAAAATATGCAGGGAAAGGTGTGTCATTTTTGACCATGAGCACCGCTCTGAGAAGATAAAGGAATTGAGTTATGGGCAAACATGATGTTTGATCAGTGTTCGTTTTTTTCAAGGCCTGCCTACTTTTCCTTCAAATATTACAAACTTTTGAAATAACATTCAATTTTTTGGTCTCTGTTACTAGATTGCAAGTTCTATAAAGGCAGGAACCAGGGTTTGTTGTTTATTTTTGGATTCTCAGTGATTGTCAAATTTATATTTGTTGAAGGAACCTTAATCCAAGACTTGGACTCCAGGTATCTTTCCATTCTGGTTCCAAGGAGGGACCTTCCTCACAGCAGGCGTGCTGTGTGGTCTCACATCTCACTCCTATATCTTTCCCTGTCTGTTACTGCCCTCAGTGGAGCCCACAGTGACCATCTCCCCATCCAGGACAGAGGCCCTCAACCACCACAACCTGCTGGTCTGCTCAGTGACAGATTTCTATCCAGCCCAGATCAAAGTCCAGTGGTTTCGGAATGACCAGGAGGAGACAGCCGGTGTTGTGTCCACCTCCCTCATTAGGAATGGTGACTGGACCTTCCAGATTCTGGTGATGCTGGAAATAACTCCCCAGCGTGGAGACATCTACACCTGCCAAGTGGAGCACCCCAGCCTCCAGAGCCCCATCACCGTGGAGTGGCGTAAGGGGAAACTGGTTTCCTTTTACTGTGGGCCCCACAAGACAAAGGGAAGAGCTCCCGCTGATCCTTCCCATCCCATCTCTTGTCCCTGACATCACTACTGAGCTGGGAATCACAGGAGACTAGAGCACCTGTTGCCCCATGGCAAGCACATCAGATGAATCCTGATCTCTTTGTCTTTCCAGATACCAGGGAGATCACTTTCCACATTTGTGTTAGTCCATTCTTGTACTGCTACAAAGAAATCTCTGAGACTGAGTAATTTATAAAGAAAAGAGGTTTAATTGGCTCTTCTCACTCCACTATAAAGAAATACCTGAGAATGGGTAATTTATAAAGAGAAGAGGTTTAATTGGCTTATGATTCTGAGGCTGTAGGGGAAGCATAGTGGCTTCTGCTTATGGGGAGACATATGGAAGCTCCTAATCATGGCAGAAGGAAAAGAGGGAGTGAGGTGTCTCACAGGGCAGGGGCAGGAGCATGAGAGAGAGGGGGTTGGTGCTACGCAGTTTTACATAACCAGATCTCATGAGAACTCACTATTGTAATGACAGTACTAAGGGAGATGGTGACAAGAATCTGGTCTAATGATCCAGTCACCTCCCACCAGGCTCTACCTCCAACATTGTTAATTACAATTGAACATGAAATTTGGGTGGGGCCACAGAATCAAACCATATCAACACTACTAAAGCCCCAGAACCAGCTCTGACAGCTATGAGAGACTGACTTAGGGCTGGTGACTGGGGCCTTAGGGTTTAAGGTTATGGATGAAGTCCTGAGGGGCAGGGGTGTGCTTCCTCCTCTCCCTCACCCACCTATTGTGTCCAAAGACCTACTGGCTGGTCTTTCTCTTCCCTAGGGTGGTCAGACTGGAGAACTAGTGTCCCCTGACATCTCCACCTCCTGTACCAAGGACATTATGGGGTGTGGGGACAAACACTCACACTCAGGCTCTGCTCCTTAGGGGCTCAGTCTGAATCTGCCCAGAGCAAGATGCTGGGTGGTGTTGGAGGCTTCGTGCTGGGGCTGATCTTCCTCGGGCTGGGCCTTATCATCCGTCACAGGGGTCAGAAAGGTGAGGAACCCAAGGGGGAAATGGGGGAAGATGGGCTGTGACCCAGACCCTCTATTCAGAGAGGTTCTGTCTCTAGATGTAGCTCTTTCCTCCTTACCCTGAGAGGAAGTGCGAGGAGACAGGACAAGATTGGAGGAGGCATTGGAATCTGATTTTACTGGGTGAATGGTAGCGCTGCCAGAGCTGACTGATAGAGCTTATTCCAGGGCGTCCTTACCGTTCATCATCGTCTCACTGGCTCCTTTCTAAAAGCTTCCTCCATTAAGAGGGTCAGAGCCTCGGCCTCCTTGTCTTCTAGTGACAATTTCCTTTGTTTTGGGGGATTTTAACTTAGGGTGCTTAAGGACTTAAAGAACACGGGAGGGAAGAGGATATAACCCCAATTAAACTACATGTGTCATTTTCCTTTGGGGTAAGATAGTGGTTGTTTGTTTAACAAGACCTTTCTCTGTATAACTTCCTTTTGTAGGACCTCGAGGGCCTCCACCTGCAGGTAATATTTCAGCCATGATCCAGTCAGGGGAGAGGGCACAGGCATAAGAGGGAAGAGCCATGGTGAAACCGCATCTCTACTAAAAATACAAAAATTAGCTGGACGTGGTGGTGTGCATCTGTAATCCCGGCTACTTGGGAGGTTGAGGCAAGAGAATCACTTGAACCCAGGAGGCAGAGGTTGCAGTGAGCCAAGATGGCGCCACTGCACTCCAGTCTGGGCGATAGAGCTAGAGTCTGTCTCAAAAAAAAAAAAAAGAAGAGCATGAGCGGAGTGTTCCAGGGCACAGTGGTCTCTGTTCATGGCCTGTTTGCTGCTATGAGGGTTAAGACTTAGGGGAGAAGTTTGCCAGTTTCTACGAATCTCCAGAGATTGTTTCCTAGAACCAGGCCTTAACTTTGGTGGCATCTTTTTGTGAAATGTGGGGACAGAGCCACATCTTGAATGTGAGATAGTAGGGTGATGCCCACTTTGTGCCACATTTTGTTAGCTACTGCCTGTAGGCATTTTCAGTGACTAAAAGAGGCTGCTAGTGGTGGAGATGAAGTGTCACCCAATTTACTAAAAAAATCAAACTCTTCATATTACCCAGAAGGGTAACTGCTGTTCCCCCACCTCCACATATCTGCATCAAGCTGAAGTTCTGTGTCCTCATGAGCTGATTTTACCTTTACACAGATATTGGGGAACGTGATGATGATATGCCCTGGACCTCAGCATCCTCTGTTTGATGCTGCAGAGGAAACTCAGGACTGGGGGAGAGGGTGTGTCCCTCAGGGTACCCTGTGCTGATCATGCCTCATCTCTCTTCTCCAGGACTCCTGCACTGACTCCTGAGGACTTTTGTCTGGGATTGGTCATCACTCTTCTGTAATGCCCACCTGCCCCTGCCCAGAATTCCTAGCTGCCTGTGTCATCCTGTCCCACTGAGGTCAGAGTCCTACAGTGGCTCATGCAGCCACAGGTCACCTTCTGTGATCCCCATCCCAAGGCACTGGCGGTGACTCTGCTTCCTGCACTGACCCAGAGCCTCTGCCTGTGCACTGCAAGCTGTGTCTACTCAGGCCCCAAGGGGCATCTCTGTTTCCATTCTCCCCCCACAGACCTGTCAAGAGAAGCATGACAAACAAAATCATTTACCTAACTTTAGTGCTTTTTCCCATAATTAAACCTGATTCTGAGTTATCTGTGTTCGGAACTTCCTTAACTAAGCAGAGGTAGGAAACCACTGCCAAGTGAAGGAACATACCTTGAGGTGACCCAGCCAAACCGTGGCTAGAAAGAGGGTTGTACTTTGAAAAGACACTGAAAGCATCTTGGGGTGCAAAGTAAGGGTAGGCAGAGGAGGTAGAAAATCAATTCAGTCATCACATCATTCATGGTTCTTTAATATTGATGTTCAGTGCAATGGCCTTAGGACATCCCAGCCTCTCTTCCGGTTTGGCGAGTGTTGTCTAAGTAAGCATGGTGGAATTGTTTGGGGACAATTATAGTGACTGATGTTTCAAATATATTCTGGCTGGCAAGTCACATCAATCAAGGCTAATTTTTATTTTTAAGAAAGCATAACCAGGAATGAAAGTACTATTTTTGGTTCCAAATGATAGACACCCAACCCAAAGATATTTGATTCATGTTACAAGGAATGTTGGTTTCAGAAGTGACTAGTTCCAGATATTCCATGAGATCTTCATCTCTCTCTTCTCTTTCTGTTATAGTTCCATCTGTGCATCCTCCTCTCCTCTCCGTGTGTCTCTTTGTCCCTGTGTAGTTCTTTCTGTGTGTCTCTCTCCAGTTTTGTCTTTGTTCCCTTCTTGTGTCTCTTTCACTGCATTGTTGCCTTTCTCTATTTTTGTAATCCTTTGGCACTATTTATCTGCATTTCTTTCTCTTTTTCTTTTTGCATCTCTTTATTTTCTGCATCTTTCTTATTACCTCACACCTTATCTCATGTCTCTCTTCGTTTGAGTGTGTGTGCGTGCGTGTGTGTGTGTCTGTCTTTGTTGTATATGTTTCTGAAGTGTCTACCAGAGTTTTAATAATTTGGGGAAAGATTCTGATTGTCCAAGCCTGGGTAACATGCACACCTCCCAAACACACCATCCTGTGCACGGGATGCTGCCAGCCAGCATGCTCATCCCTCTTATTAGGAAGGAGGACTGGGTTTTCCAGATCCTTCTGATGCTGGAAATGACTTCCAGTGTGCAGATGTCTACACCAGCCATGTGGAACACCTCAGCCTCCAGAGCCTCCTCACAGTAGAGTGGTGTAGGGGAAGTTTGTTTCTTGTGGAGCACACAGGTCAAACGGCAGAGCTTCCTCTGGTTCTAGGGTCCCTCAGTGGGGGTACCTGTTCACAGCCATCTCATTCCTTGTCTGAGCTCCCTTTGTCATTGACATCGTAACCTGTTCATTCCTGATGACACCCTCTTCCCGGTTATGAGGGACGTCACTACACACTGTGACCCCTTTGATGTGGGCTCAGCCCTGAAGATGGTCTACATGTCAGTCTCTGGGTTTGTCATTAAGGCAGACAAGCTTTTCCAACCCTCAGCCCGCGGGCTGCATGCAGCCTATGACCGTATTTAATGCAGTCCAACACAGATTCTAGAACATTCAGTTCAACATTGTCACACTGAACACATCCTGGTTATGAGAGGATCAAAGTCTTTTTCCCTTTCTTCCACTGACAGTTTCATAGAAACAATTATTTTTTGCACCCAGATTTCATTGGGTAGTATAATCTTTAATTGATAATTAAAGTAACAAGTACATTTTTTATAAATAAGTTTGCTAACAAGAAGAATTGAGTCTTAGTCGGCATATAACTTGGAGGAAAGTATGTGGGTGTTCTAGAGAACAACCTGCCAGTTGTTAGCATTTGTCCTTACCTTAGGAAATATCAGCATATCTTTCAGAGACAATGTTGCTCGTCAATATGCCATAAGGTTCTTTACATCTCCCAGTCTTTTCTGCTGTTAGGTTGGGATCATTTGACTAATACTAGCCAATGGAACTTGCAAGTAGATGCACGATGAGACGTTGGAAACTCCATATAACCTGAGTCACTGGAGAAACTGTGGAATTAAGTCTCTTTATTAAGTGACATCACTAAGATTTGTTTTTTACTGTGGGCTAAGATCTTACTGCACATTAACTTTACCCTTCTCAATAATCATGGAATGTTTAACTTCAGAGGAGAGTTCATAAGTTAATAGGGTGAATCAATTGAGTTAATAGAAATTGAGATGATTGAGATGATATTTTTAAACAAAAAAGTTTTTGAAAATAAAGAACAGAAAACTTTATTTGAACAAGAAAAAGTTAAGAATGTTACATTTCAAAAAATTTAAATTATTTTTAATTTACAAATAATTGAGTACTTATAAGGTACAATTGACATTTCGATATATGTATACACTATGAAATGATTAAATCAAGCTAATTAACATATCCATCACTTCACATACTTATTTTTTTATGTGGTATGAATATTTAAAATCTGTCTTAGCAATTTTCAAATATACAATACAGCTGGCCCTGTATTTGTGGGTTTTGCATCCTCTGATTCAGTCAACCATGGATTGAAAATATTTGGAAAAAATGATAAAATACAACAATACAACATAAAAATAATACAGCTTAAAAGAATACAGTATAACAACTATTTACATAGCATTTACATTGCATTAAGTATTATAAGTAATCTAAAGATGATTTAAAGTATATGGGAAAACATACTTAGGTGATGTACAAAAACTAAGCCATTTTTAATAAGAGACTTGAGCATTCTTATATTTTGGTATCCAGGAAGGGTCCTAGAACCAATCCCTCATGGATGCCAAGGGACAACTGTATGATATTATTAACTAGTCACCATGCTGCACAATTGATCTTCAGTACTTATTCCTCCTCTCTAACTGAAACTTGTACCTTTTGACCAACATCTCATTCCTTTTTCTCCCTCTCCCCACACCCCACCCCCTCCATGACTTTGACTTTTTAAGATTCTGCATGTAAGTTAGGTCATGTCGTATTTGTCTTTCTGTGCCTGGCTTATTTCACTTAGCATACTGTCCAATGGGTTCGTCCATGCTATAAATGACAAGATTTCCTTCTTTTATACGGCTGAATAGTATTTCATTGTGTATATGCACCACATTTTTTTTATCCATTCATCTGCTGATGGATAGTTAGGTTGATTCCATCTCTTGGCCATTGTGAATAGTGCTGCAATAAACACGGGAGTGCAGATATCTCTTTGATACAGATTTCATTTCCTTTGCATATGTACCCAGAAGTGGAACTGCTGGATCATGTGGTAGTTTTATTTTTAATTTTTAAATAGATGCTGAATTTTATCTGTTTGTTTTCTTCCACATGAATGTATATGTACTCCCAGGAACTAGAACAGTGTTTCTGCCGTCGGTGCTGTTCCACTGTACCTAAACTCCTCCCTTTGAGACTGAACGATTTATTCTGTCATTGCTGGGAATGTTGCTGGCTGACTGCCCTCAGCTGTCAGTCATGCCCCGGAATTGCCTTTGGTGATGAAAGCTGCCTCATCGGATTTTGATCCACTTCCCAGGAGGAACTCACCTATAATGATTGGTCAGTATAGGAGTATAAAAGCCTGCTCTAATTTGGGCCAACTCTGAGGGGCTCTTGCAGCTTCTGAATAGCTTAGGCCGAAGAATAACAGTCCATTTTTTTTGTAACTGAAATAATAGTCCAATTTCTAAAACCTTGCTCTAATTCATGAGTCATTTTACATACTTTTTCCAGTTGTGATTGTAATTTAAATATATTGATCTTTGTGACTTCTGTAAGTATGGGCAATGCCTCTTCCCCTCCTTCTTGGAAGATGAAGTTATTGGCATTGTTACCCTCCCTTTCCCCTCTCCTTTACGCTTCCAGTTGCCAAAATTAAGTATCTACATCTTTTTTTTTCCCCCAATATTGTCAAAGCTGAAAATATTGACATTCTGCTGTAGCAATAAGATTCCTTGGGCTTTGCTCACAGATTAATTCTAAATTTGAAAAAAAAAGTTTATCACTTTCTAAATATCACTTATGTAGTCAGGTATTCTTTGCTTGCCAAGAAACTGCTGTAGTAGGATCCCTTTTCAGTGAGATCCTGGGTTAAACCCAGTTTCCTGGATTCCTTACCTTCCTATATCCTGATTAACAATCTCAATTGGTCATATCCTTAGTCAATTTCTAGTAAAACTCTGCGTGGTAGGTAAATTTTATGTCCTTTCACATTCACAGGTATTTTTATTCTTTCTCCATGCCTGATTGTGACTTTGAAAAGATCTACATTTATTAATAAAAAATAATTTTCCTTTAGAACTTCAAGGACTTTCTCATTATCTTAATAATAGAAGTATTTTTTTTGTTGTCAGTTTGTTTCATTTTGGTTTCCGCCACTGGAATATTTTATGACTTTTCTATAACACCTGAAGTTCTGAAATTTTGAAAATGAGATATTTAGAAGTGAGTCTGTTAATTTTGCTAAATACCTGACAAGACTATTCCATGGAAGAATTAAATCCTTTATATCTGGAAAATTTTCCCTTATTATTTGTTCTGATCATTTTCTCCCTTCATCTTCCCTGTTGGTCTCTCTAGCTTTGTCACTTGATGTTTGACTTCCTTGGTCTGTTCTCCATCTTATTTTTTCTACCATATATTATATTTTTTTTTTTGCCTTTTAAATTACTGTGAGATTTTCTTGATTTAATTTTCCAATCTTTCTATTAAATTTTCCAATTGTTTTTAGCATTCTATTATTACTTTTACAGATCAAGAATTCTAATTAGAATGACTTTAAACTTGTTTGCTGTTACATGAACTTTCTCTATTAAATCTGTGATAATTTTCATGTTATTTTATTCTCATCTTCTCTTTCATATTGTAAGAGTTTCTCAAACATTTGCTCTGGCCTCTTCAACCTTGTCCTTTACCTACTGTATACCACCTTATTTCATCTGAAGATACATTTCTTCAAGCCACTTCTAAACTGCCCCAAATCATACCTGGTCCCTGTGCAACACTCTCTCATTTTACCTCATTCTTTTTCTTTATAAATGTTTCAGACCTTGTAACTATGTTTGTGGAATTATGTAATATATGTATTTTCCTCCCACTGGAGTGTAAGTTCTATGAAGATAATGAATGTAATTGTTTTCACATTATTTTAATAACATTCAACAAACTATGAGTACTTATTGTAGCACTGGGACTCAATGACCATTTTTGCATTTTTGATGAATTAGTGAATATATAAACAAGTCTGGGGGCTTAGTCCAGCCAATAATAAAGCAAGCATTACTTTGCTTTCCTTTGTTATTATTAGTTCCTGCATACACATTCTTTACAGTTGCATTCCTGAGAGGTTCTTACAGTCTTGGGCAGGCCTTGGACAGGGTTTCCTAAATGTGATAAAAATGAGAAAAACTGAAAAACTAACATAACTTCAAACAGAATGCTTGTCTGCCTATGTTTATGGGACTTTCCTGAATACATTTAAAAAAAAAAACCTTTGTATTACAGAAAATTTCAACTGTGTGCAATAGTACAGAGAAGAATTCCATGTATCAACAGCCTTGCTTTAACAATAATCAATTCATGAGCAATTTTGTAAACCCACCCAGTTATCATACAGGCACATAATGGATTATTTTGAAGATATTTTTAGGTATCATATTTCATTTATACATTTTTATTATGAAAATCTAAAATATAATGGCTTTTTAGAAACATAACAGCAATGCCACTAACACATTTAAAACGAGATAAATAATTCCTTAATACACTCAGTGTCAATTTTTCTGATTGCCTCATATAAATTTTTTAACAGATGTTTTGTTTGAATATGAATCTAGACAAAGCTCAGCATTTGGTTACTATATTTCTTCAGTCTTTTTCAAGTGTATAGCTTTTCTTTTCTCTATTTTTAACTTTTTTTGCAAATTGTTTGCTGGAGAAATCTTTTTATTTAATCTAGTAGAACTTCTCATATTCTGAATTTTGTTGCTTACATCCTTGTGGTGTCATTCATCATGGGATTTTGTCTTGGACTCCAGAAAATAACAATAACACAAATTTGTTAATTTCTATAAACTGCTTACTATGGGCCAGTCTGTGTGTGAAGTGCTTTATTTGTAATGTTTAATTCTTCATATCTCTAGTTTGTATGTGGTAAGTACAAACCTGAAATATTTTACGTGATTTTTACGTTTTGTAATTTTTATTTATTCATTCATTCATTTATTTATTTATTTTTAGAGACGGGGTCTCGCTGTGTTGCCCAGGCTGGAGCGAGTGCAGTGGTGCAGTCAGTCCTAGCTCACTGCAGCCTTGAACTCCTGGGCTCAAGCAGCAATCCTCCTGCCTCAGCCTCCCTACTAGCTGGGACTACAGACTGGTCTCCATCTCCTGGGCTTTAAGGGACCCTCACCTTGTGCTGAGATTACAGGCATGAACCATTGTGACTGGAAATTTTGTAAAATTTGAACAATGTGATATTACCTATTAATGAAGTCATACTTTATGTATGTAATCTGAAATAATTCAGATAACAATTTTTAATAATCATTTAATTTAAAATCATGCAGCCTGATTTATAACTGTTTATAATAATAATATAATAATATAATAATGATGATTTCACTTTGAACTTTTAGCTGATAAAAAGATATATTTGCTCTATTTTATAAAACTAATTTTAACTATGCTATTTTAACATTATATAAATACTTTTTGAATACATTCTTTCAGTAAAATCCAACTACCATTATATTTGCTTTCCTCAGTATTTCTTGGGGAAGGATTCTAAATAGGGGAGCATTTGTGTATTTCTGTATGACTCTGGTTATAATGCCATTCAATGTAAGCCTTACACACACACACGCACACACACACACACACACAAATGCACACACCTCCAGAATGCTGGGTTCTTGGCTCATGAATCATTGAAATTTATATAAAATTTATTTTAAATCCTATTGCAGAAAAGTTCTTAGCACATTCATGCATTTTCATGTGACCATTTTTATACTACAGTTTTAATTTTATATATTTGGGATCATTATTGTTGACCTTTTCTTTTCTTTTTTTTTAATAGAGTTTATTTTAGAGAAGTTTTAGGTTCCCAGAAAAATTGTAGAGTACAGATAGATGTATCCCATATGCTCTCTGTTCCCACACATGCATAGCCTCCCCCACTAGTAACATCCTCCACGACAGAGGTACATTTGCTACAACTTATGAACTTACACTGACACATCATTATCACCCAAAGTCCATAGTTTATATTAAGGTTCATTCTTGGTGTTGTACATTCTATGGATTTGGGCAAGCGCATAATGATATTTATTCACCATTGTGGTATCAAATAGAGTAGTTTCATTGCCCTAAAAATCCTCTGTGTTCTGTGATGGACGTTTTCATGATCACCACTGGTTCAGATTCCCTGCACTTACTAATTCCCAGTCTGCATTTATAATTATTTTCTCCCGGAGTCTCCCCACCTCCTCCCCAAAGTAAATATGGATAAACTGCTGTTGCATATAATTCACCTTGACTTAAAATTTATGGGCCATAAGGAGGGAATATACCCCTTAGAGAGTTAAAAACCGAAGTCAAATATTACAACTTCTTGTCCTAAGAGTTCTCTTATCAACCCAATCTCAGCCTCTCAAGAAAGAAAAAAATCCTCCAGTTAACATATGAAAAGAAACTCACTTTTACGTCTACGCTTGAATCTCCTAAATCACTAAAGGGCTAAGGAAAACAAATGTACTTTTCATATAATATGATCCATTCTTTTTAATAAATCCATTATAAACATAACTGCAGTGTTTTCTTATATATTTATATACTACGTGTAAGGCACTGTCTATATACCAAGATTATTCAAATTCTGTCAATAACTCTGCAAGGAAAATATTATCACTCCCACATTGTGGATGAGAAAAATAAGGTTCAGAAATGTCAATCAGATACTTTACCCAGTAAAGTTTAAAATATTAGCTTCAAAATACTGAGTCAAGTATTTGGATTTAGGTTTCTTTGTACAAAACTATGCTGTATCAATTATTATGTTAATGTTTTGTCTCTTTTTTTTCTCCTATTACATTTTAAACTCACTGATGCAGATAGCATGGACAGAAATATCCTGGCAGATTTCATAGCTGTTTAGAGCCCTCAGGTCTCTGTGGACCCATTTCCTCTGAGAGATTTTCTATTAGGAGACCACGAATCCAGTGTAGGACACAACACCCACTACTGCTGCTACATTGTCTCAACTGTCTTGTTCTTCCTAGGATTTCTCTCTCATAGGCTCATGCTTTCCTTAGCCAGGAAGGGGGAGGAGCAGGGGGCTGGGGCCCCTAAATGGGTCTGTAGCTTCTACTTCTATCTGTTTTCCATTGTCACTAACCCTAAGTAAGGAACAAGCATTTGTTCCTTTTCAGATACCCACTTATATTATTGCCTTATTTTAATATTTTTCTTTTTTAAAAAATTTATTTATATGTATTTATTTATTTTTGAGATGGAGTTTCATTCTGTTGCCCAGGCTGGAGTGCAGTGGCACAATCTTATTGCAACCTCCACCTCCCAGGTTCAAGCGATTCTCCTGCTTCAGCCTCCTGAGTAGCTGGGATTACAGGTGCCCACCACCATGCCCAGCTAATTTTTGTATTTTTAGTAGAGACAGGGTGTAACCACGTTGGCCAGGCTGGTCTCCAAGTCCTGACCACAAGTGATCTGCCCACTTTGGCCTCCCAAAGTGTTGGGATTATAGGTGTGAGCCACCGTGCCTGGCCTTATTTCAATGTTTTTCTAACTGGCTTCCATTTCTTTTCCTGCCTAGAGAATTTTTATCTCCTCAAGGTGAGAAGGGGAGAGGAAAGCTTCTACTGTTGTCATTCTTCACAAATTTAAAGTTTTGAGAATGCAGTTTGACTTTTGGTAACAAAATTTTTTACTTTTGATAACTTTTGAGATTCAAAATTCTTGTATCCTATTTCTCTGTCATTCCTTTTAAGAGCCATATTGAAATTAGTACAGACTTTTTTTTTTTTTTTTGTATTTCTGCTATAACCATTCTGAGCCAAGGGCAGAGGGTTCGTTGGTACCTGAATTGAGGGGTGGGTGGCAGTGGCCAAGGGTAGGAACAAAAGGAAGAAAGAAATATTAACACCAGTTAAGAAATCAACAAATTATCAGGATACACTGTACTTGGTTGCTCCTGTGTTACTGGACATGAAATATGATCTGGGGAATGACATGAAATTGGCCTAAAACATAAGAGTCACCCATTCTAAGTTATGCTCTCAGTCAGCCCTGAGATGAAAGATGGGAAAAATTCAATAGAGGCATCAAAAGGGAATTTATTGCTTCCATGGAGATTTTAGATAAAGGTCATTGAGGAATTAGGTAGCTGAGTGGCTTACTCAGGCATCCCTTAGTAGGTAACATTTGAGAAAATAAAAAAATTCAGGAAAGGAGGTCAGGGAAAGAATTGAAAGGCATTTGTGAGCTCTGAGGGAATATAGCACCTTAAGTCCCAGAGAAGAGGTGAGAGAAGAAACATTTGGAGGAGAAAAGGGATATGATAAATCAGGCCAGAGAATAGTGCTAGGTCATTTAGCAAGTCCATTCTTCTTCTCCTGTAGATGGTGATGCACCTGCAACAGGACAGACATGAGATCGATGGGTCTGAGGGGCCTCCTGTGTGATCATCATGCCACTTCCCAATTCGCCTACAACTTTCAACCACATTCATGTCCACAACCCCCTCCCACTTTCCTCCCTCTCATACTGAGGTTTCAGCTCCAACAAATCTCAATCTTACCTTCCTTTCAGGATGAGATTCATAAGAGCCCTTGGTGTCTGGAAGCACCAACTGAACGCAGGCCTTGGATGATGAAGACAGTGCCCACCACAATGCCCATGAGGCCCACAGACAACCCCAGGGCGCAGACCAAAGTCTCTGTGAGCTCTGACATAGGGGCTGGAATCTCAGGCTCTGTGAAAGTGGAGCTGTTGAGGTCAGAATGTGCAGTGTGCTCATGTGCATGTGTGTGGGATGGGATGGGGTGGAGGGCTGGCTCTGCAAGACTCAAGGCCCCAGGCTTAGGGAGAAGAGTGAAGTCTGTTATTAGAAACCCATGAAGTGGTGGAACTCATCCTTACCCCAGTGTTTCAGAAGAGGCTCGTCCAGGCCCCAGTGCTCCACCTTGCAGTCATAAATCTCATCAGCAGAAGGGAGGAAGGTGAGGTAACTGATCTTGAAGAAGGAATGATCACTCTTGGAGAGGAAGCTGGTCTCAGAAACACCTTCTGTGACTGAGTGCCCATTGCTCAGCCAGGTGATGTTGACCACAGGAGGAAAGATGTTGTCCACAAGACAGATGAGGGTGTTGGGCTGACCCAGCGTCACAGGAAACTTGGAAAACACTGTGACCTCAGGAACCTCTGTGGTGAGGAAACAGCACTGATGTGAAGTGTGAATAGCTCTGCCATGAGCTTCTGCATTACATCCTGGAAGAGCCCTCTTACCAGCATTTCACCACCTGATAGTCAAAGAGGTCTTATTTACCTTCTGCTTGGGAGCAACGACACATTGCCTCTGCTTTATTCCTGTGCCCTTCTCTCTGTGGGCATGTTTAATAAAGTAGGAATTAATACATAATGGAAAGACCCTTGTATTACATGGGAATATGTGATTTTAGAGATGGGAGATGATAAAATTTCAGCAATTACCATGAGAAGATCCGGAAATCTCTTGAGAAGAAGGGAGTAAAACTTGGTATGAAAGATTAGTTTCAGTAAAGAGAGGCGGAATGGTGGACACATACCATTGGTGGCAGCGGTAGAGTTGGACTGTCTCATCATGAATTCCAAGGTGTGTTTTCCCACAGCCATATTTCTCAGTGCACTCTGCGGGTCAAAACTTATAAATTTGCTAAACATAGGCAACTGCCAGACAGTCTCTTTCGTCTCCAGGTCCACGTAGAACTCCTCGTCTCCATCAAATTCATGGGTGTACTGGCCAGAGGGACCGTGAGACTGGTAGAAGTTCACACCATAGGAGGCAACATGGTCAGCTGACGAGTGAAGGTGACAAGCAGGAGGGTGGAACACAGGGAGAAAGAACCTTAATACAGAAAGTGATTGAAGAAACTCACTTTCAAATATTATGGGCTTCATCTTTGGCACAGTCCCTGAACAATCTTCCTAACACCTGCTTCCTCCTTGCCTAACGTTGGTAGTCATCAGGTTAGAACTGATTCTGTCTTTCTCACTATAACATATGCTCCACAAAGGCAGAACGTCACACGTCTGTTATTTCCTGAGTGCCTACTTAGTGCCTGGCACATCATAAGCTTATGATGAATATTGCAATAAACAAAGGAAGGAATGAATGAGTTATCATAGGATTTAGTTTTCTTACTCAGAGATTCAGTTTATTTCCCTCTGCTTCCTAAGTTTTCTCTCTCAGTTAATAACAAGTTGATTATACTTCGTTTCCTGTCAGGACTAGATCAGAACAGGACACTTTCTACACAGAGTTTCCTTTATTCTTTTTTTTTTAAACCAAAGAAAAGCATGTAGGAACGTATTAACTTAAAAGAATTTCTTCTAACAATTATAGGGTACGAGAAAGACTATTACAAGAATAGCAACATTATACATTTATAACAAATAAACAATTCTTCTAAGGTCTCTGTTTTGTTAATAGTAGTGGTCCTTAGAGGAGAGCACCTGATTTCTTCTGAAATGAAAAGTGGAAGCTCGACTGGTTTTTTAATTTCTGTCATTGCCCCCACTTTTTTTTTTTTTCCTCTGAAGGAGGTTACTAAATGTCTATAGTGTTCTGATTCAACAATTACATTCACTCGAGGACTCAGGTAAATTAAACCCTTTTTCCTCTAATGGGCAGTGAGCTTATCCGAGGATGCAAGGGCAGAGCAGCAGCCATGAAGTATAGCCAAATGAGCCGAACTGGACATTTTTGTTAAGACATGTGTGAGCCCTTTACCATTTTATCTTTCCTTCCTTCCTTCCTCATTTACTGAGCATCCAAAAGTGTCAGACAGAGCAGGGGTTGCTTAAAACAGCATCAAGGAATGAACTGAATAGTGGGAGAATCAGGTCGGTAAGGGAGCAAATACAATGTACTTTGGGGAGTTCTGTGAGGAGGATATCGACAGCCTTACAGTCCGACATTCTTCACAACTATCTGCCAATCAAACCAAACTACACTTCCTTTCATGTCTTTGCAAGGGTCTGTTTTTTCTCCCTGAAAGAAGTTATCTTTTAGGATTTCCTGGAGAAATCCTAAAATTCATCCTTGAGGTTTCTACTTAGTTAACAACTTTGCAGCTAAGTGCTCTCAACATGTTTTTGACCGCGTTGTGACCTCCAACGCCTCAATGGAATCTCAATGTCTGGCTCTCCAAGTTTGTCTGTTCCTCCTCCAGCTCACCTTCTTCCCTACCCAGCATGACTGCCCTGGTTGGTTACTTAACAGGCCACCAACAAAGACTCCTTATCCTTACAATAAACTTTGACTCCTTGTTCAAACATGAATATATGTGGAATACATGCAATCCTTCTTTTCATCTGGTACTTGTCCTGGGTGCTGAGTGTTGCTGGAGGACATCACTCTACTGGCCCAGCTGGAACCAAGTCATTTTTATAGTTTCAGCCTCTGCTGGGCCACTGTCCTGCTCAGCAGGGCCTTCTGCTTTCCTGTGCCCCATACTGTTTCCATCACTGGTTTGTGCACCCTCTGCAAGGCAGACAGCATGATTTTTTATCTTTGAATTCCCAAAAGTTAGCTCATTGTGTGCTCAAACATGTGTATTGAATGACAATTGCAATTTTTGACAATTACATAGATTTTGGGGAAGACTGACAGGCACCCAGGTAGCAGAACCACGCAAAGCCCAGGATCAGGGATGCCCAGGGCTGAATTCTGACTTGTGAGCCCCGAGCACTGTTGCTTTTGTGGGCGCCTTCCTCCATAAAAATACGGAAAATTACAGCTTCTGATTGTATTGGTATAAAGACAAATACAATCCAGGCTACATTAAAAGTTAAGGCCGGACGCGGTGGATCACGCCTGTACAAATCCCAGCACTTTGGGAGGTTGAGACGGGCGGATCATGAGGTCAGGAGATCGAGACCATTCTGGCTCACACGGTGAAACCCCGTCCCTACTAAAAATACAAAAAATTAGCCGTGCGCGGTGGCGGGCGCCTGTAGTCCCAGCTACTCGGGAGGCTGAGGCAGGAGAATGGCGTGAACCCGGGAGGCGGAGCTTGCAGTGAGCCGAGATCGCGCCACTGCACTACAGCCTGGGCGACAGAGCGAGACTCCGTCAAAAAAAAAAAAAAGTTAAAACATTTTCATAGACTGTAAAACTTCATTTTTCTTCTAATTTTAAAACGAGTTAAAACGTTCTCTTGTAGCTTTACAGTTTGGAGAGTCTCCTTCACTGCCCACACTGTTCCTAATGGATAAGTCGAGCCTGACCGGGGCACTCTGGTGTGAGGTTGAAGAAAGGAGATTTGAAAAAAAAAAGCCAAGTGCTCTGGAGAAGCAGGTGAAACTTCCACTGCCAAACAAAATCAGAATGGGAGCAGCTATGGTTAATAAGGTTGTGGAAGTTTCGAGTAGCTTCCAGTTCACTTCCCCTTTTAACTATTTGACTTTCCAACTTTTGTTTTACAAACCCACTGCCCATGTCTGTAAAGGAGCAGGGAGTCAGAGATGGATCCTGAAAGGGAAGAGGGAGAAAGGGATGCATGAAGAGAGGTGGAAAGAGATGGACGACAAAGGCAGAGGGGACTAAGGGACCAAATAATCTGTGCCTGCCCATTTTTCTCTTTATAAGACTTCATTAGATAAGGTGAAGAACAAGTAATTTGGGTTGACAATTTGAGAATAAAATAATTTAATTTACCAAGCATTTTATCATAAAGTTCTCAGTTTTAAAATATATTCCTTACTTTGCTAAAGAAAAAATACGAAGTTATACCTGTAATAGGAATAAGTTAAAAAAAGTTGACATTCATGTTTTTACTATTCATAAAGCATATCTACATGCCCATTTTATTTGATCATAAGCGAGGTGACATATATGAGGTAGCAGAGAGTAAGTACCACATTTACCACGTGGTAAAATGATTGTTGAAGGCATTCAGCCTGCTGGGCTCTTTCACCTACTCCCCACCTGTGCCAATTCCCATGTGGAAATGTAAGTCTGAGAGAAAGAAAAGAACCTCTTTCTTTATATCTATAGAGTGTACATACTTCATGGAACTATCTACCCCAACATATGCTATAGGAGGCATATGAAAAGCTTCAAAAGTTGTTCAGAGAAATTTGGGAGTAACAGTTCAGAAATTTTTAATAACAAAAAAATACTCCATTCATGGAAACATCCCTAGTCTTTGAGGCAATCATGATGGAATGCCACACAGACCTCCAGGCTATAGTCTCTGGATATAATATAAACAGAACAACGTCCTTGGTAAACTCCAATAGCACAGGTAGCAAAGAGAGTCGGTTGGAGCTCTGGTTTCCTAAAGGAGGAACTGCCATAATTTTAAAATTTCTTAATATTGAAAAGACCCTTGGGAAATTTCTACTATTTCTTAGCAAATTGCACTCTTTCTTTTCCTTTAATTTGCTGTTTTTCAGCTCCAGAGAACATTCCTCACTCATGCACTCACCCACAATGTCTTCACCTCCACAGGGGCTCATCACGGCAGTCAGGGCGAGGGCCCCCAGCAGCAGAGCTTTGTTTAGGATCATCTTCTTCCCAAGGCAGCCTCAGCAGTTGCTGCTCTGAGCTGTAGAGCAATTGTGAGGACCTCGAGACAAGCAAATCTGAAGACACCCAAACCAAACCCTGCCAGGTCAGGTTTTGGCCAATCAGAAAAATCCCCTATGGTGACATATTGTTTGCCAGTTGCAGAGTTTATATTAAGAGCCCTGGAAGAAGACAGGGACATCCTCTGGTTCTGACACATCCTCCACACAGCATGGTCTTGAGGAAATTTTCTATAAATAAAGGGAAGATACTAAATCTGAATCTTCTGTCATGTGTGCATGTCTGCTAGTGTCAAGAGGGGCGGGAATTTCTGAGCAGCCGCTTGGATAGGTAAGGTCATCAATAATATGGCATCCTTCAGGGTTTTCTGGGTTACATTCTCCAGGAATTCTTCCCTGAAGTGATTTTCCTCCCTGGCAGTCCCCATCCCCTCCCCTTTCTCTGGCTTCTGTATGTGGGTTAGCTGTTTTTCTTTTTGCTTCCATAGTGTATATGGTATTCCCCAAATTTTGACTTGACCCCACCTTCCTAGGGATCTCTGCTGGTGGTAGCCAAGCAATACCTTTGCCTTTTCTACTTGTATAAATCCAGTTGGGTAAGTTCTCAAAAGCTCCAGGTGTTTTTGACCAGGGCAATTAAAGGGGTTAGACTGTCATGCGGTGCTGCCTACAGTAACCGATCTTTTACACAGTTTTTTCTTTTGCTTCTAGTAATCTTTATGCTCTGTGTTTCGGTGCTGCTTGAATATATTTAAAGGAAATTTAGGGACATTGATTACATTAAAAAAGCTTTGGCTGGCTCAATTACTCTAATAATTTATTTTATTTTATTTTATTTATTTATTTATTTTAAGACGGAGTCTCGCTCTTTGGCCCAGGCCGGACTGCAGTGGTGCTATCTCGGTTCACTGCAAGCTCTGCCTCCTGGGTTCACGCCATTCTCCTGCCTCAGCCTCCCGAGTAGCTGGGACTACAGGCGCCCGCCACCGCGCCCAGCTAATTTTTTGTATTTTTAGTAGAGATGGGGTTTCACCGTGTGAGCCAGGATGGTCTCGATTTCCTGACCTCGTGATCTGCCTGCCTCGGCCTCCCAAAGTCCTGAGATTACAGATGTGAGCCACCGCGCCCGGCCAGTAATTATTTTTTTTAAATTTAAGAATGTCAAGTCAAATATTGAGAGTAGAATAAGGAGAATTGCTTTAACTTAGAAAATAGGTTTACTTTTCTTAAACTACTGGATCTTTTCATATTTGTTATCCAACCACATTAAGATTTCAGATATTGCAAGGGACTAGGGAATGAGCTAAAATGTAGTCATCACAGGGAAACTTACCTTTTTTCAGATGAATCTATTTTCTGTATGTTATAGAAACAACAAGTTAGTAATGGAGGTTTCGTTTAGAATCACTCTGTCCTTGTTGAATGGCCTTCTGAGATTCTCAGCATGTTGTCTTGCCTCCCAATGGCAGAGACTAAAAAAAGGTAAAATAAAAAAGTGTCCTGATACCTGGGGGCTGCCTGGATGCAATTAACAAGGCCTTGGGGTTGCTAGGAGCTAGCCTGGTGTTCACAGCTGGTTTTGATTCTCCTGTTGAAGATAATCAATTTCATAGAACATCAGAATCAGACAGGTACTCCATGAGTGTGATGGACTGAGACAGAAAATAAGGCCACTCAGTCATCACGTCTGCACCCAGACAAAACATGAATATTGTCCAAACTACAAAAATAACCAGGCACATCTCTCGAAAGAGTGATTGCTGCTTCTTTACCAATCACAGCCGTAGCCTCAGGATAGTCTTCCGTCCCTCTAGGTAGTATTTATGAAGCTACCCAATCATAGCATTGCCATCCCCACTCCCTGCTTTCTGTCAGAATCCAGTTAAAAATGAAGTCCCTCTTTCTTAAATCCTCCTCAAAACTACCTAACACAAGCACAAATCTTACAATTGATTAATGGTCAATTTTATGTGTTGACTGGACTGTGGTCCCCAGTTATTCACACACTAATAATCTAGGTGTTGCTGTGAAGATATTTTGTAGATGTCATTAAAGTTCATAATCAGTTAACTTTAAGTAAGAATTTATCTGAGATAAATTGGGTGAGCTTAGTCTAAGCAGTTGAAAAGTCTTAAGAGCAGAGCTGAGGCTTCTCTGAGGAAACAGAAATTCCACTGTGGACAGCGCGTCAGCCAGTGCTAAGAATTTCAACCTGCCTTTCCTGATGACTGCCTCCCAGTGGGTTTTAGGCTTCCCTAGTCCACCCGCACAGTTGCACAAATTAATTCCTTTCAGTCATTCTCTTAATATATGTGTTCTCCTAGTTCTACTTCTTTGGTTCCAACAATCTCTTACTGAACTGCTGCATGATTCCCCATGGTGACTTTTCTCCATCATTGCAACGGACAATAAAGCCAACTTGTTCATTCAAGGGTATGCTCTTCGTGGTCTTTGGCCGGAGGCACTGATGGTACCTCATTAGGCGGTTGTGAGGAATGTACATATACTGCACTTGGAATGAATTACTCTTTATAAATACTTGTCATACTTTAGTATCATCCACATTTTTCAAGGAGGACATTAAAACTCAGAGAGGTAAAGGACTTTTCCCAGGGTCACATGGCTCGTAAGTAGTAGAGATGGGATGCTACAGGGGCAAGCCATGATTCCTCATGAGGGGTGAGGGGTGTCTCCTTCTGTGTGGATTCTGAGTAAGTGCCCTAATACGATTAGGAGAGATATATGACACTGTACGTGGCCTTATTACTCTTTCTAGCCACTGCCATTGTGAACTAAGAGGGTTTTGGAGGTTGCAGTTGAGCTCTGCTCCCTTCACCGTGCAGCATCCTCTTTGCTGTGTAGTAAATAACACATTTCTATCTTTTTTCCCCTGTATCCAGACTTACCTGCTTTGTATCTGACAGAAATTCCTTAAGATTTTGGCAAATGAACTAAATCTTTCCTGATAGTACTCCAGAATTTCCCCTATTAATATCACAGTTTAAAAAACTCAACTCTAATTAGGAAGTTAGGGTGTTAAATGTGGGATCAGAATTGTATCTTAGAAGGGAAGTCATGGGTTCAGTCTCAGATCTCACATCCTGTGGGATGGAGGGAAAGTCCAAGCAAGGCCAGGTCATTGACTAAAAGATAATAGATGCCCTTTCTATCTTTAACTGGTTTTGTGTCCCTCTCCTCCTCCTGCTTCATCCAGCCAGAATATAGCGAACCTTGTTCTATTTGCTTCTGTTTTCAGGTCATAATTTTAATGCAAGATAGAATAATCAGTAAATTAGACTCAGAAGAACAGTATACCATTTTAACAGAAACCAATTTCTTACTTGTAGAAATAGAAAAGGTCCTCAGTACTTTGGGAGGCTGAGGCAGGCGAATCACAAGGTCAAGAGATCGAGACCATCCTGGCCAACAAGGTGAAACCCCATCTCTACAAAAACAAAAACAAAAACAAAAAAAAAATTAGCTGGGTGTAGTGGCACGCGCCTGTAGTCCCAGCTACTACTCGGGAGGCTGAGGCAGGAGAATCGCTTGAACCCGGGAGGCGGAGGTTGCAGTAAGCCGAGATCACACCACTACACTCCATGCACTCCAGTCTGGTGACAGGGCGAGACTCCATCTCAAAAAAAAAAAAAAAAAAAGAAAGAAAAGAAAAGAAAAGAAAAAAGTCCTTTTCATAAAGTAATAATGGGAATAAAATTTGGAGCTCAAAATACTACTTTGCCTAATAACTTTCTTAGAAAGCACTAATTGACATGCCGTTGATTTTGTAACTAAAATATCAATGGGATATGCCATTACAATTGATATTATTAAGGGCCCTCTAAGAAATTAGGCAGAAATTATGTTAGTTCTAAGGAGCAGTTATAACATTCTCTAAGACCCTATCTTTAAGTCTAATTTTATACATTGATGAAATTTTACTCTGAAGGCCGAGACTTCTATCTTGCAGTAGTTAAAGGTGCTTCACAACAATAACAGAGTCTAGAGTAGCAAAATAAAAATATTATAGATTTTGTAATAAAATAAATATGTATTCCATGCTGCTTTTGATTTTCTCAGCTCCATCACCCTGGGCAAACCACTCAGAATACCTGAGCCTTAGGGTTATTTTCTATAATGTGGGATGAAAACTATTAGAAGATAATTAATATGATGAAATGATAGATAAGTACAAATTATACAGTTAAATACAGGCCAGTGTCTGACACCTAGCAACTATTCCCAAGTGGGAGCTGCTACATAAAGACAAATATTAATAATGATAATGATAGTAACATCACACATTGGGCTGGGACAGACTATTACTTTTTCTTCATTCATTTAAGCTTCTCCCTGTGGCACTCCAGGCATATAGGAGCCTGTGAGCCACAGAAACACTAAGAGATTTCTAGGAAACAGAACTTCTTTGAAGACTGTTGTATCTGTCAGATTTTTCTATGTAACAAACTATTCCAAAACTTAATGACTTCCAACAACGATTTAGTATCTTCGTATGATTCTGTAACACAGACATTCTAAAATGGGGCCAATAGAAAATTCCTGCAAGTGATGCTTGACAATGTCTAGAGATACTTTTGTTGTCATTACTGGGGAGGGTGCTACTGGCATGTATTGGGTAGAGGCCAGGGGTGCTGTTACACATCCTGCAATGCACATGGCAGCCTCCTACAAGAAAATAATCACCTGAAACAAAATGCCAACAGTTCTGAGGTTGAGAAGCCTCATTTTAGACCATTTTTTAAATGTGAAAAAATGTTTCATTTCCAGAGTTTATTTCTTTGTATAGATCCAGGTTTCTATGTGATATCATATGGCTACCGTGTAAAGGTCTTCCTTTTACATTTCTTATGGTGCAAAAATCCCATGGACACCAATATTCCCACGACTCAAAGATAATAATGAATGCATGACTATCTCAAGTGCATAGGCGCGGAGAGGAGGACAAATGAGAGTGGAAGCATTCCCCTGCCCCCATCTTCTCTCTTTAGTGCCCATTGTAAGCCTTTCAAGCTCCACCATCTCTCAGGTGCAAGATTGTCCTTGCCAATCTTCTTTAGTCAATGGGATACTTTTAGAGAAATACTATAGCAAGAATAATTTTTACTCAACTTGTATCATTGTAAATAATTTATAAAATATTTCTTTTGTTTGAGGTATTTTTCAAAATCCCCAAACATCACACATATCTGGATTCATTTTTCCCTAAAGTTGTCAGTTATTAAAACATTTGAATTATTCTTGTGTTATTATTTCTGTTTTTAATGTTCTGGCAAAATCACAACTTAAAATTTCTAGGTAAAATGCTTTACATATACATGATGACCTTTGGTAAATACATATGAATAATTTCATATAAACACTTGCTTTTAAAGTTTCCATTTAAAATTATTTGTCATTTTAAAATCACTAATGCTAAGTAAAAATAACTGTACAGCTGACTGTGGAGGTGTGTGCCTATACTCCCAGCAATTCAGGTGACTGAGGTAGGAAGATCACTTGAGCCAAGGAGTTTGAGGCCAGCCTGGGAAACATAGTGTTACAGGACTTTTCCTTAGTTCAGCTAATGACAGCGTCCTTGCCACACAGCCACAAGAAATTACATTCACAGACAACTTGAAGGGTGAGTAGGACAACTTGAAGGTTGAGTATTGGGTGAAAAGGAAGAAAAGGGGAAACAGAGGCTCTTAGCAAAGTGAGAGAATGCATTTTTTTTCTGCCAGTGGGCTTCCCACCTCACAGATTGAATTCCACGTTCCACCCAAAGAAGAGGGGTCACTCTCCTCCCTGCCGCAAATGGTGCAAACTTCTGTGGCTCCGTCCCAGTTTGCACTCCTCCCAGTGCTCAGGCTGGCTGGAATTTATCTGGGGATCCCTTCCCACCTGGCTGTCTCAGTAGCAAGACCCCGTCTCTAAAAATAAATAAATGAAAAGATCTATTCAAAGAACGTTCACAATATGTACATTAGGATTGGAGAGCTCCTAGGAAAAGAATCAATCGCTATTAGGCGTGAGGAATATTATCTGTTTCCCAGTAGTCAGTTCTACAACCTGATTCAGATGAATTAAGAATTTCAGTTCAACTCAACAAGTATTTATTGATTACATACTATAGTCTCTGCACAAAGTCTTTATCAAATAACCTATTCTGTTTAGCTGAAGAGTAACCTGGGGCTATGGTGAAAGCAGATCTGCACATGGGAGTAATTTTGCGTGTTTTCCCACAGAAGACTATTAGGGAGCAGTATTTTCCCCATACTATTTTTTTGTTATTGTGTAGTTTATTTAAGAGAGCTGTTTAAAGCAACTAGTTCATTCATATAGGAGTTGTTACTGACAAAGAATTGGTGGGGATGATATTAAATAACAAACGGAATTGTCTTTGAAAGGTTACCTTATAGGTAACAGAGGGTCTAGAGCAAAATTAGTAGCAATATATTGTGTGTTTATGGAATATAAAAAAGTATATGATAACAATTGCACAATGAATGAGAGAGAGAGAAATTTGGAGCATACTGAGCTAAGGTATATTTGAAAGTATATTATACATAAATGTAAAATCCTAGGGCAAAAACTAATCCAAAAGAAGGCAGAAAAACAATTTTGAAAATGAACAAACGTTTAATAGAATTAATAAAAAATATCTAGCAAAAATAATCCAACCATGTTGATAATTTCATAGATATAATTGGCCTAGACACACCAATTAAATGATAAAGAAGATCAGACAGTAAAAATGGCACAATTGAACTATAATCTGTCTACAAGAAACCCATTTTAAATATAAAGGCATACCTACATTAAAAGTAAAATGAATGAAACTGTATACCATGCAAACAAAATCAAAAGAAAATTAATAAAAACTTGCCTTAACTTCATCTCCCCACTTTTTAACTTTTTGTTTTTTCTATTTACATCTTATTGTACTATGTCTTGAAAACTTGTTGTAGTTATTATTTTTTATTGGTTCATCACGTAGTCTTACTACTTAGAATAAGAGTAGTTTACACACCACAGTTGCAGTGTTATAATATTCTGTGTTTTTTTCTTGATGTTCTCCTCCCTGTGTCCATGTGTTCTCATTGTTCAACTCCCACTTATGAGTGAGAACATATGGTGTTTGGTTTTCTGTTCCTGTGTTAGTTTGCTGAGAATGATCATTTCCAGCTTCATTCATTTCCCTGCAAAGGACATGAACTCATTCTCTTTTATGGCTGCATAGTATTCCATGGTGTATATGTGCCACATTTTCTTAATCCAATCTATCATTGATGGGCATTCGGGTTGGTTCCAAGTCTTTTCTATTGTGAACAGTGCTGCAATAAACATACATGTGCATGTGTCTTTATAGTAGAATGATTTATAATCCTTTGGGTATATGACCAAAATGGAATTGCTGGGTCAAATGATATTTCTGGTTCTATATCCTTGAAGAATCGCCACACTGTCTTCCACAATGGTTGGACTAATTTTCACCCCCACCAACAGTGTACAGCGTTCCTACTTCTCCACATCCTCTCCAGCATCTGTTGTTTCCTGACTTTTTAATGATCACCATTCTGACTGGCAAGAGATTGTATATTTAAAAAACCCCATCATCTCAGCCCAAAATCTCCTTAAGCTGACAAGCAATTTCAGCAAAGTCTCAGAATACAAAATCAATGTGCAAAAAGCACAAGCATTCTTATATACCAATAACAGACAAACAAAGAACCAAATCATGAGTGAACTCCCATTCATAATTGCTACAAAGAGAATAAAATACCTAGGAATACAACTTACAAGGGATGTGAAGGACCTCTTCAAGGGGAACTACAAACCACTGCTCAAGGAAATAAGAGAGGACACAAACAAATGGAAAAATATTCCATGCTCATGGATAGGAAGAATCAGTATTGTGATAATGGCCACACTGGCCAAAGTAATTTACAGATTCAATGCTATCCTCATCAAGCTACCATTGACTTTCTTCACAGAATTAGAAAAAACTACTTTAAATTTCACATGGAACCAAAAAAGAGCCCGTATAGCAAGACAATCCTAAGCAAAAATAGCAAATCTGGAGGCATCACGTTATCTGACTTTGAACTATATTAGAAGGCTGCAATAACCAAAGCAGCATGGTACTGGCACCAAAACAGATATATAGACCAATGGAACATAACAGAGGCCCCAGAAGTAACACCACACATCTACAACCATCTGATATTTGACAAACCTGACAAAAACAAGCAATGGGGAAAGGATTCCCTATTTAATAAATGGTGTTGGGAAAACTGGCTAGCCATATGCAGAAACTGAAATTGGACCACTTTCTTAAGTCAAAAGGACATACTGAGAACTGACCTCCTTTTCTCCCAGGTTTTTATGGTGACCCCTTAGCATCACCTGACTCCCAGGCTGCAGGTCAGACTTGTCAGTGTGCCTTCTGATGTGTTGAAGTTCTGGGCTTTGACCTTAGGGCTGATGTCTTGGAGGTGGTCTGTGGGGTTATAGAAAGACATACTCCTGAGGAGTTGCCGCCCCTTTTTCTCCTCCTCCTCATCCAAAAATTAACTCAAGATGGATTAAAGACTTACACATAAAACCTAAAACCATAAAAACCCTAGAAGAAAACCTAGGCAATACCAGTCAGGATATAGGCAGGGGAAAGACTTTAAAACATCAAAAACAATGGCAACAGATGCCAAAATTGACAAATGGGATCTAATTAGACTAAAGAGCTTCTGCACAGCAAAAGAAACTATCATCAGAGTGAATAGGCAACCTACAGAATGGGAGAAAACTTTTGCAATCTATCAATTTGACAAAGGGCTAATATCCAGAATCTACAAGGAATTTAAACAAATTTACAAGAAAAAAAACAACCCCATCAAACAGTGGTGAAAATATATGAACAGACACTTCTCAAAAGGAAGACATTTATGTGGCTAACAAACATATGAAAAAAAGCTCATCATCACAGGTCATTAGAGAAATGCAAATCAAAACCACAATGAGATAATTATGTCAATACTAGACAAAGTAGATGTCAGAACAAGGAATATTACCAGGGATAAAGGGATATTATTTAATGATAAGGGGTTATTTCTCCAAAGACACATAACAATCTTAAGTGTGTATGCACCTAACAACAGAGCATCGAAATACATGAGACAAAAGCCGATAGAAATGAAAGGAGAAATAGAAAAGTCAAAAATTTTTTGTATGAGGTGTAAGGAAGGGGTCCAGTTTCAGTTTTCTGCATATGGCTAGCCAGTTTTCCCTAAAACCTGTGAATAATGGAGCTAAAGATTTACTTAAACATGAAGATCTCTGTTTTGTAAGAAATCACACATAGTTACACATTGTCAGATCTTTTTTAATTATTATTTTTACCAGACATAAGAAAGCAAGTACATATACCTACACATATATGTATATACGAGTATTTGAAATATTATCAGTCTATGTTACAAAGAGCTTTCACATGAATGATCTGTTTTAATAAACAAGTGACCACTGAATAAAAGTATTGCTTTTCTAAAGAGTAGGCTAACAAGCTACTTAATACTTAGCTAATTAAAACCTAGATCTGGGATTGGAGTAGAAGACTAGTTAATATCTGCTATCTTTTCCACTTTAGTATCAAAGGAGGGATGTGAGCCCATGATGAGGATTTCTTTGCTGCCTTACCCTCTAAGTTTCTTTTCCTGTTGTCATTCGTCCTAGTGGAGCCTGCAGTGACCATCTCCCCAGCTAGGACAGAGGTCAGCCATCACAATTTGCTGGTCTGTTTGGTGACAAATTTCTTTCCTTGCCAAGTGAAACTCAGATGGTTCCAGAAAAAACAGGAGCAGACTGCTGGAGTTGTATCCACACCTATTCAGAATAGGGATTAGACCTACCAGATTCTTGTAATGCTAGAAATAATACCCGAGCATGGAGATGTCTACACCTACCATCTGGAGCACCCCAGCCTCCAGAGTCCCATCACAGTAGAATGATGTAAGGAGCACTTTATTGATATCATAAATTCAATGGAAAAAAGGAAGGGTGGGGGAGTTCTGGGTCTTGTGGGGGTGAGGTCACTACTAACCTCTGCTTGTTATACATTTTCATACCTTCTCTCCTACACAACTGTATCCCGATATAATTTCTGGACTAGTAGTCATGGAAGACTGAGATCCCATTGTCTCAAGTCAAAATGCACTTTCTGAGAACTGACCTCCTTTTCTCCCAGTTTATTATGGTGGCCCCTTTGCATCACCTGACTCCCAGACTATAGGTCAGCCTTGTCGGTGTGCCTTCTGAGGTGTTATAGTTCTAGGTTTTGACCTTAGGGCTGATGTCTTGGAGATGGTCTGTGGGGTTATAGAAGGACATATCCTTGAGGAGTTGTCATCTCCTTTTTCCCCTCCTCCTCATCCATCCATGCTGCCCCTTGGGGTCTTTGCCTGCCTGTCATCTCCTTTGCTTGGTGACAGACTACCTCTGTCTCTTACATCCTGGATAGGACTCCAGGCTTCCAGATGAGGACACTGTGGGGTGTGGGGACAGGCTCTGACACACAGGCTTTCACTTCCCAGGGACACTGTCTGAATCTGCCCAGAGCAAGATGCTGAGTGGCCTTTGGGGTCTTGTGCTGGGGCTGATCTCTCTTGGTTTGGGCCTTGTGGCCCAGCCATTTTTGGAATAAGAAAGGTAAGGCACCTTTGAAGAAGATGGAGAGACTGGTGCTGGGACTGAGGCTTTTTGTTGTAACTCGTCCTGTCTGACTCTGTAATGGAAAGGCAGCTAAGGTGGGGATGGAAATAGATCACAGAAATTAGGAGCATTGAGAGCTCCCTGGCCTGGGTCATGTCTGCATCATTACAGAAGGGAGTGGTGGAGGGTTATTCTTAAATAGACAGGGCTCCACTCACAGGTAAGATCCCTGCTCTCCTTGCCCAGAAATATGACACACATAAGGTGGAAAAAAGAGTTGAGTGTGTTTCTCTGGACACCTGAACATGCTTCAGTTATTTTGCTGTTCCTGAATGAATGTGGCATGAAACAAAATTCTGGAATATTCTGGAAAAAATTCTGGAAAAATTCTGGAATGTTCTGAAAAGTCTCTGCTCTAAACTTCAGGGATTATTCCTCAGAATAAGACCCGACCTGTGGTATCAGTCATTCAGTGAGGCTTAGATGATGCCCCCAAATCCCCAAATTGCAGAGAGTGCTGCTGAACTTGGTGATAGGTGAGATGAGAGGGAATTACAGTTGTTACCATTCCAGTTAGTCCACGACCTGTGCATCACCAAAGCATTTCGACATCCTCTTCTGCCTTCCACAGGCCCCTTCAAGCTGATGTTTTGTGTTCACTTTAACAGAGTAAAGTGCACTTCAGATGTATTGTGATTTTGGTTCCAGACAGCACTGCAAGAAAGTCAAACGTATCTTTTGGTTTCCCAGTGCATATAAAAGTCATGTTTACAATATATAGTAGTCTATTAAGTGTGAAATGGCCTTATGTCTAAAAAAGTGCATACCTTAATTAAAATATTTTATGGCTAAAAATACTAACAATCCTCTGAGCCTTTAGTGAGTTATAATCTTTTTGCTGATAGAAGGTTCTTTCCTTGATGTTGATGGCTGCTGCTGCAGTTTGAGGTGGCTGTGATAATTTCTTAAAATGAAAGAACAATGAAGTTTGCTGCATAGATTGACTCTTCCTTTCATGAAATATTTTTTGTAGCATGTGATGATGTTTGGTAGCATTTTACCCACAGTAGACCTTCTTTCAAAATTGTAGTCAATCCTCTCAAACCCTGCTGCTGCTTTCTCAACTAAGTTATGTAATATTCTAAATCCTTTGCTGCCACTTCAACAACATTCATAGCATCTCACCAGGGGTAGATTCCCTCTCAAGAAACCACTTTCTTTGCTCATCCACAAGCAGCAGTTCCTCATCCATTCAAGTTTTATCATAAGATTGCAACAATTTAGCTACATCTTCCGGTTCCACTTCTAATTCGAGTTCTCTTGCTATTTCCATGACATCTATAGTTCCTTCCTCCACTGAAGTCTTAAACGTCTCAAAGTCATCCATGAGGGCTGGAATCAGCTTCTCCCAATCTCCTGTTAATGTTGATATTTCGACCTTCTCCCATGAATCATGAATGTTCCCAATGACATCTAGAATGGTGAAGGCTTTTCAGAAGGTTTTCAATTTGCTTTCCCCAGATCCATCAGAGGAATCACTGTCTCTGACAGCAATAGCCTTATGTAATATATTAAATAACACGACTTGAAAGTTAAAATTACCCCTTGATCCATGAGTTGCAGAATGGATGTTGCATTAGCAGGCATGAAAACAACACTCATCTCCTTGTACATCTTCATCAGAGCTCTTGGATGACTAGGTACCTTGTCAATGAGTAGTAGTATTTTGAGAGGAATGTCTTTGTCTGGGCAATGGGTCCCAACAATAGGCTTAAAATATTCAGCCAACTATATTTTAAACAGGTGTGCTGTTATCAGGCTTCGTTGTTTCATTTATAGAGCACAGGCGGAGTAGATTTAGCATAATTCTTAAGGGCCCTAGTATTTTTGAAATGGTAAATGAGCACTGGCTTCAATTTAAAGCCACCTGCTGCATTAGTCCCTAGCAAGAGAGTCAGCCTGATCTTTGAAGTTTTGAAGCCAGCATTGACTTCTCTCTAACTCTGAAAATCCTAGAAGACACCTTCTTCCAATAGAAGGCTGTTTCATCTCTATTGAAAATCTATGATTTAATATGGCCACCTTCATCAGTGATCTTAGCTAGATCTTCTGGATAAATTGCTACAGCTTCTATATCACCACTTGCTACATCATCTTGTACTTTGGTATTATGAAGGTGGCTTTTTTCCTTAAGCCTCATGAATCAACCTCTGCTAGATTCAGACTTTTTTCCTGCAGCTTCCTCACATCTCTCAGCCTTCATAGAACTAAAGAGAATGAGGGCCTTTCTCTGGATTAGACTTTGGCTTAAGGGAATGTTGTGGCTGGTTTGATCGATCCAGATCACTCAAACTTTTTCCACATCAGCAATAAGACTGTTTTACTTTCTTATCATTTGTATGTTCACTTGAGTAGCAGTTTTAATTTCTTTCCTTCAAGACCTTTTCCTTTGCTTTCACAACTTGACTAATTGTTGAAAGCAAGAGACCTAGATTTTAGCCCATCTTGGCTTTTGACCTGTCTTCTTCACTAAGCTTAATCATGTCTAGCTTTTGATTTAAAGTGAGAGACAAGTGACTTTACTTAGAGGCCATTGTAGGGTTACTAACTGGCCCAATTTTAATGTTCTTGTGTTCTTAGGGAATAGGGAGGCCTGAGGAGAGGGCGAAAGAGAGGGAGGATGGCTGGTCAGTGGAGCAGTCTGAACATACACAACATCTAACAATAAAGTTGATTGTCTTATATGGGTTCAGTTCATGGTGCCCCAAAACAATTACAACAGTAACATCAAACGTCACTGATCACAGATCGACATGTAATAGTAATGAAAACGTGAAATATTACAAGAATTACGAACATATGACACAGAGACACAAAGTGAGGACATGCTGTTGGTGAAATGGTGCTGATAGACTTGCTTGGTGCAACCCTTCAATTTTTAAAAAACCACAATATTTGAGAAGCACAACAAAGCATAGCACAATAAAATGAGGCATTCCTGTTGCCATCTCTACTCAGTTACCAGGAAAGGTAACGAGGAGCAGGTGTTGACATAAGCTCAACCTTAGTGTCCTGACAACTGCAGAGAGGCCCCAAGGGAGGGAGGGACTGTGTTTCTTCAGGGGTTGGTGTGACATGTGATTGTTTCTTCTGTCTCCTAGAGGGCTCACGCATTGACTGCAAACATTTTTCTTTCTGGGATCTGTCACCTCTTTCTTGTCTTGTCTTGGCTTTACTCTTGTCTGTAATTCCCAGCTACTCTTCTGTCAGGCCTGTGAGCAAGCCATTTCTGCCAGCTGTGTCACCCATCAGGACATGACTCCCATGGTGACTGAGAAGTGGCTGCCAGGTTGTTGCTTGTTCTTGTCTTTCCTAAATTCCTGCCTGCAAGAAATTTCCTAAATGTTTGCTCACTACCATGATAATGAGAGCTCTGCTCTCTGCTGTCTGCTGTCCCTGTTTGGACCATAAGTACTTTCATAAGCTTTTACTACCTTCTTCTGTTTCTGAAGACTGATCATGAACTAAATGTCAAACTTCTTATAATTCAATAATTAGTTTTTCAAAATTAAATAGATTTGTGAGTCACTTGTGTTTCTAATTCTGATTGAGTAGGGTAGTGGTGTTGGTGGGAAACATTGAGCTAAGAAAGGGATCAGATTCTAGAACTTTAGTTCAGTTATGACCCCCAAAGAAGACAATGTCCAGGAAAGGACACTCAAAAATCATGAGTCCCCATACTTGGTCTAAGTCAGGTGCTACATAAGAATGTGAAATGAGATATGAAATAAATTTAATTTTCCATTATCAGTGGGGCTTGGAAGTTGGGATTGTGTGCAGCAGTCTTTCCTGGCTTCTGCAATAGTCTGATTAGTTTCACTTATTTGTGCAAGTAGAATTGTTTTGCACCAGTCATGGTACCTAATGCCATAACTTAACCAAACGGCACCACAAATATCTTCTGGTGAGTACACCGTGTTCTTCAGGGCAAAAGACAATGATTGTTGATTCCATCCAACCTCCCCAATTGTATAATTACCAATGGAGGTTTTATTAGAAAGTAGTATTTTGGTAGCTTATAATGGAAACTCTATTAGACCATCTTAAGGGGAAAAATTAATTTTGGGGCTCATGCAATCAAAGTTTCTAGGTGAATTTAGCTTCTGAAAAACGCTTAGATACTGGACACAAATGGGACCTTTTTCTCTCTTCTCTTTCATTTCCCTCCCTCTGTCTCTCTGACCCTTCTCTCCCCCTTCTGCCCTCATTCCCTTCTGTCAGTGCACTTCTGTTTCATTCTACTCTATATTTCTCTCTGACTGTTTGTCTCTTCCTTTCTCTTCAAATCTCTTTTCTATCTCTGTCTGAAAGACCTCCTCCCCATTAATATATTTGATAGCTTTTCTTTCTTCGATTTGCATTTTCCCTTATATCCATTTCTCTGAATCGCTGTTTCTTTTTCTCTCTGTGACTCTCTCTTACATATATATGTGTGTGTGTATATGTATATGTATGTGTGTGTATATATAATTTATTATCTGCCTCTTGGGTTGTCTCTCTGTCCACCTCTTTTCCCCCCTTCCATCTCTCTACTGGCCTGTGTGCCTCACTGCCATTTTTTCTCTGTCATTCCATCTGTTCATTGTCTTTTTCTTTGTCTATATTTTATGTTTATGTTGTTTATTTCCCTGCATCTTTCAGTCTCTGTTTCTCTTTGTGTGTATGTATTTCTTTGTCTCTTGCTTGTGTTCTCTGTGTAGGTCTCTTTGAGTTCGGCTTTTTTCCTATTGATTACCCTTATTTTCTCCTATGGAAGTCAAACATTTCCTACATGGCTATGAAGATGGACATCTCATATTTTCAGCTCATCATCTGAATAGCAACAGATCAAACATGTCAGCTCCATTTTGATAATCTGACGAAAGCTTAGCTTGAGTGGCATTCCAGTTTCTCAACCAATCACTTTAGCCATGGGATGTGGGACTCTGATTAACCAGGCCTTAGATTTGAACCCACTTCTGTGTCAGGAATACAGATTTTCTTTTTCCTAAACAAAGATGGAAAAAGACCAAGGCTGGATAGGTCATAATAGTAGTGGCAATAAAAATAATAACTATCATAATCTATTATACAAGGCTCTTATATATGAAGTCTCTCTCCCTCTTTCTCTCTCTGTTTCTCTCTGTTCCTTTTCACATTAAAAAATTCAGAAGATGCTCCCTTTTAGTATAATATATGTAGTTCTTACACAACTGAAGCTTCATTTGTCCCATTCTAAAATGAGAAAATCCCAAATTATAAAAACCTCCAACTCCAGGAACTCTGGTGATATGAATTTCTCCTTAACTGCTTTGAACATGACTCTTATTGGTCCTACAAACTATGATGAAATAATAGATAAATCTACCTTCAATACAGGTGGAAATAATAACATAACCACAATGAAACTATAATCAACGATCACTTCTGCCCAATGTGATGAGATATTGAAACGCTAGGTGAAATCTGTTGCCCGCTGCTGTTTCATGGGGATGTGATCTCTTATGGAGAAAGAACGAGTCACTAGGACCCAAATGCAAAAGCAGCTGGAGTTATGTAACAGGGCACTCCTCACACACAGTCCCCAACATGTGTCTGCTACTACTGTCTATTTTGGAGGGAGTCATCAAGGAAAATGTGGTTGGCAAAATTAGGGCAGATATCAATATCATTTGAGATTTGTCATGTCCATGTGAGTCTCTTTTGTTATGAACGTTTTCAGGTATAGATCCCCAAGATGCTCTGTTATTAAGGTTTTCTAGTGAGGAGTCAATAGCAGCTTAGCTCTTGGAGTCCTGCCCCTATTTAAGGTTTAAATAATCAGATTGGACAGTTATGAAATACTAGATCCTACCTATCTATGACTTCAGATGTGTGGGAGTATCTTGCCTTTAGCTTCTTCCACACTTTTTAGTTTACATCACTGGTTTTATTTAATAAAAGAAATAACAGAAAGGCATCAGGGGAAGGAGGAATTATCCTTGATTTGTCACATTCTCAACTTCCACATTCAGCCAGTTGGTGAATTCTATCAATTAAATGATAAAATATTTCTCAACTTAGTCCATTTTATTCATCTTCTTTGTAGCCACTTGACTTTAGCATACTGCCGTATTCCTCCTGAATTGTTGAAATAGCCTCCTACCCCATCCCCCTACTTCCTTCTTGATTCCTACAGTTCATTTTCCACACAACTGCTAGAAATGTTTATAAAACTTAATCTCTACCACATCTGTATCATGATTAAACACCTCACATGTTTTCTTATAGCATCTAGAATTAAACCTAGATTTCTTACCTGGCTAATCAAATCTTCTGCCTGGCTAATAAAATCTTCTGTGATCTGCTCTTTGCCCATACTACTGAATTCACTGTCTACCTTTTAACTGTCTCATTTTATTAGTTTGGGTAACACCAGCTGCTATACGGAATAAAGATAAAAATTTCAGGGGACTAGCTAAATAGACATTCTCTTCTTATTCACATAACAGTCCATTGCCAGATTGTTAATAGTCTAGATATTTTTCTCCACATAGTGACTCAGGAACCCAGGCCCTTCACATGCTGTGATTCTGCTCTTTTACTGGACTTCTGCTCTCTGCTTCCAATGATGAAAGGCAAAAGAGAGAGGGTGGAGAAGGCACACTTATTACTTAATTCCTTGGTGTGCCAGCAACACACTTCACTTTCAGTCACATTTCATGGTGAGAACTAGTGATGTGACCCCACCTAGATGAAAATGCGTGAAAGTGGAGTCCTTACTTGGACTGCCATTTCTGAGCAATATCACTAAGCAGCAGGAGGAGGAGTGCACAAATTTTGGTGGAAATCCAGCCATCTCTGCCACTGACCTCATTTCTGCTTTTTTAACATTTCAGGTTTAGTCTACGTTAGGATGGTTCCTTCTGCCTGGAATATTTCTTTTCCTGATTGTTACATGTACATTGTCTTCTTTCTAGCTCCTTTATGTTATTTTTGTTTCAACTTAAATATAACCTAAGAAAAGATTTTCCTGATGACCAAATTTGGAGTTGCCACTCAGTTATTCTTAGTTAAATATTAATTTTCTTCATATCAGTTATCACATTTGTGAAAGCCATATATTCAATTGTGAGACCTGGTAGTTGAACAATTATTTTTAAAAGTCAATTGCAGTTGAGAATAGTTAGAATGATTTGTAAATATATAATGTGGTAAACATTTTATTTTAACTGAAGTAAATACATGTATACATGTATATTTGTTTGGCAGTATGTTGACATAGAACCAAACCTTCACTTGGAGAATGTATCTGTTGTTTAGAGTTTTAGGTTATCTTAAATGGCTAAACAACACCCATAACAAACTTTCTATCGTATCAAATTTTAGTTTTTTAAAAAGTTTATGAGAATTTAGAGTGAAACATTACAAAGAATTCTGAATTTAGAAACCCTTTAGATTTTCACCTCATTTTCTCCATTTTAAAAGTTATTTTACCTATATCCAATTTAATAATATTTTATTAGACAACTTATCGTTATTATTTCCAAAGCATTTAATGGTTTAAGAACTTAAAATTTCCCTTTTAAAATTCATTCTTAATTCATAATGAAATATTTACTTTATTTAAATATATAATTACAATAACAAGTCAATAGAGATGAACAGATTTGTGAGCAAACGCCAGCAACTTTTGGCAAACATTAAACTCAACTAATGGAAGCAGAAATATACAGGAAGGCCAAAGAACAGCTGTGAGCTGTTGGCATGTCACGGGCATCAGCTTGTTTACTGAAGAAATGAAATATGCCAGTTAAACCAACAAATCAATTCAATGAAATTGTCTATTCTACCTGGTCATTTTGTTTTCACTTAATTGATCATAATATAAATATATAATCTCTTATTTTTCTGGTCTCTGTCAATCTATTGATCTACAATTATTATCTATCATTTATTCATCTATTTATTTAGAGTATAAAATCAAAAGAGAGACCTTGTCTATTTTGTTCAACAATATTCTAAGTACCTAGAACACTGCCTGGTATACAGTAGGTGCTTAATAAATATTTGCTGGTTGACTACATGATGACTTTTTCTTCAGGAATTCACCTGTCTCTCAAATCTTTCGTCCTTTCTTGGGAATGTTTTGGTACTCCTGGGCCAATATCACACATTATTATTTTATAATATACTTTGATATCTAGGGTGTCCTCTTCCTCATTCTTGATTTTCCTTTGCAAAATTTTCTTGGCTATTTTTGTCCATTGACACATATATGGTGGTAGTGGTGGTAATATTTTCATAAGGCAGAATTCCATCATTATTATTCAGTATTAACTTTTGTGTTTTCCACATTTCCCTTTTATGAATATGAAATGATGTTGTTTAAAATGGTATTTTAAAAATCTTCAATATTGTATTTTCTACAGAAATACAATGCTTTATCATACAAGACCTTCAAATCAACAATCTCACTACACACTCTTATCAATTGCATAGTCTACCTTTGAAATTATTTTGTGTATTTCCTTTGTTCATAGTTATAACATCTGCTAAAAATGATAGCTTTTCTTTCTCTTCAAACTTTATAGCTTCTTCTTTTTCTGTCTGTACTGCATTGGAAGGGACATACAATAAACACCTAGTAGATGTTATAGCTGCCATTTTTGTTTTGTTTTTGAGCCCACCAGATATGCCAATATTGAAGTTCTTATTCTAAGACTTTGTCTTAGGTTTTTAATGCCAGAAACAAGAGAAAATAATTACTATCTAATTTCTATGAACCAGGGAAAACATGTCAAGAAGAGATGGGTTCTCTATGGTATCCTATTCATTACTCAAAATGTAAGTTTTATATGGATTTCAAATATAGCTAACTCTTTGATGTTGCTCAAGTCTTCCATTCTGTTCTGGTTCTCCATGAAAAAATAAAGAGGCAATCAGTTGCCCATTGGGACTCAGTGTGCTGAACGAAAATTCCCAAGAAGAAGATCAATTTCAGGGGCAATTGGGAGGAGGGTCTTCGTGTCTTGGCCTTGAGGGCAAAGATGCTGAGGACTCCCTCTGATCAAGGTAATAAATGATCACTGAAAACAGACACGACCCCAGAATCCATATTCCTACATATAGTGCCAACTAGAGTAGGAGTTCAAGTCACAATTTATTTATTTATTACAGAAGAGGGTGTTGAGTTGCCATCAAAGAGGTTTTTTATTCTGTCTGTTCAAGTGGTAGACATGGAGTATTGAATAGCTACAGAGAACAAAATTTACCTTAGTTGATTTTGAGTGGAAAGGAGTTTATTACAGACCTTAATATAGCTTAGAGAATCATCAGGACAATAGAAGGAACTGAATCAGGCAACCAAGGAAACCACCTCCTCTTCTACAATCAGGAACTCATGCTGCCCAGAGCAGCCATATTTGGGAAGCTCCTCCATTCAGTAAGCCCCCACGATCACCTGCTACAATCTGCACCAGTAACAGACACGCTGCATGCTGCCTCTTTATATCCATGAAGTCAGTTATCAGACATGAAAATCTCTCCTAATTCTGACACAGAAAATAAGGCACCCCTACACTGGTGCCTTTTCAGGTAAAAAAAAAAAAAAAAAAAAAGACCCTCAGCATGTCCAAAATTTACCAGAATGCCTCTGATTGGCTAAATCTAAATGACATCAAATGCTATCCAGGAAATGTTCTTTTCAGTTGCACATCTTTTGCAGTACAGGAGAAATGCACTGGAAGAGGTTGAGAGGTATGTTGCATGACAATCCACTACATATGGGAATAGGGACACTCAAACCTTCTCCTGCATTTTTCTTAGTAACACAATTTCCAGATCCAATCCTCTGCAATGGAAACTAGGAGGGATGGCCTCATTACAGAATAGATAATGTACATGTCAATAATTTTTTTTTTTTTTTTTTTTTTTTTTTTTTTTTTTTTTTTTTTTTTTTTTTGAGACGGAGTCTCGCTGTCGCCCAGGCCGGAGTGCAGTGGCGCGATCTCGGCTCACTGCAGGCTCCGCCCCCGGGGTTCACGCCATTCTCCTGCCTCAGCCTCCCGAGTAGCTGGGACTACAGGCGCCCGCCACCTCGCCCAGCTAATTTTTTGTATTTTTAGTAGAGACGGGGTTTCACTGTGTTAGCCAGGATGGTCTCGATCTCCTGACCTTGTGATCCGCCCGCCTCGGCCTCCCAAAGTGCTGGGATTACAGGCGTGAGCCACCGCGCCCGGCCACATGTCAATAATTTTTAGGCCCAATAGACCTTTTCTACTTAATATACCACCACCACCAACAACAACTTTTTGTTAATCCAGTGCCAAGGAGAAATAATTGACATGCCTGTCGCTTATTCCATATTTTAAGCTATTTTTATGGCTTGCTTTCTTTAATGAATGGTAAGCTCATTATCTCTTTTTAATCTTTCAAGCCATAGGCTTTGGTTTCAGTCTAGAGAAGCCAGCATTACCACAATGTCCCTTTCAGTCGGCTGTGGCCAGGAAGTTTCCAGAAAATCATAGGGCAATCCGAGTAGCTCTTCTACAATGTGTTTTTCTCCATGGTTTTACTTATTCCACAATATAACATTCTTTTGCCGTTCAATAAACTTCAGTACACTAACTCCCTATCTGTTTCTCTAACATGCAGATTTGTTTCTTCATTAGCAGTTTTCACTTATGTTCTTGCTGTGTGGAGTGGTTTGCTATAGATTTTGAATAGCTGGCTTTTTCTTAGCATTCAGGTCTCTTTTCAAATAGAGTATTTCTAGAGTAACAATTTCTAGTCACTCAACCTAAAGAAGTTCCCTCAAATCACTCCCAATTACTTTTGTTTTTTCTCCTCAGAGAGCACTCATTATTATATGATAATCATTCTTCATTTATTTGATTTCTTTGATAGCAGCAACCTTATTTGTCTCATAAAACATTGTCTCTCTAACTCAGATTATTAAGTAGCCTGTATTAGATAATAATATAAACAAAACCCATATAAATTAATCATTAGTACATTAATCTCCATTTTAGTCAGATGACACTGAACTAATCATATAGTAATTAATACACATGCTAAATAAGTAACTACTTCTATTTCAAGCTCTATCTCTTCTTTGCCACACTATCATGCCCTAGTTTCAAATTGTGTAGCAGATTTAGCCTCCTTCCATCCCCAACCATGATCCTAGCTTTCCACACAACCATGACTCAGCCCCAACTCTACCTAATCCTTAGTGCCAAGCAGCCTCTTATCATCCCTACTTGTCCTTCGAACCAACCACACTTGGATAAGAGTTACCTCCATACCAAAGTAAAACCCAGTGTAAATAAGCCCCTTTCAAACACACACACACACACACATACACACACACACTTGGCTTTACAAACGAGATCCCAAACCTTTTCCTTTCATGGTTGGAAGTTTGAAATAATGTAAATAAGCAATTCTGCTCTAATTTCCCTTCATCCTCAGTATCAAATGGAAACCAAACCAAAACAAGTCAAATTACCATAAAAGACAAAAATCTTTACATTAAAAGAGTAATTAATAATAAACACTTTAATATATTCTTTAAATAAGAGAAATCTTCGTTTCATCATGTTGGCAATCCTAGTGAAAAGCTGTACTCAAAGTTTTAAAAGAAAATTATTTTTTAGGCCGGGCGCGGTGGCTCACGCCTGTAATCCCAGCACTTTGGGAGGCCGAGGCGGGCGGATCACGAGGTCAGGAGATCGAGACCATCCTGGCTAACACGGTGAAACCCCGTCTCTACTAAAAATACAAAAAATTAGCCGGGCGTGGTAGCGGGCACCTGTAGTTCCAGCTACTCGGGAGGCTGAGGCAGGAGAATGGTGTGAACCCGGGAGGTGGAGCTTGCAGTGAGCCGAGATCGCGCCACTGCACTCCAGCCTGGGCGACAGAGCGAGACTCCGTCTCAAAAAAAAAAAAAAAAAAAAGAAAATTATTTTTTAAAAGACTTCTTGATTTCAGCATCAAGTGTAAAAGACAAAACCTTGTAAAATTATAAGATTTTTATTTAAACATGAACAATTAGCCAAGAAAAGAATGTTTTCCTTATGAATATGAAATGGGGTACAGATTATTGGAGCAACTCTTTTTCTTTATGATATGAGTCATAATGAAAAAATAAACTGCAGTTTATATGGTTTGGCTGTGTCCGCACCCAAATCTCATCTTGAACTGTAGTTCCCATAATTCCCACGTGACTTGGGAGGGATCCAGTCAGAAGTAATTGAATCAGGGGAGTGGGACTTTCCTGTGCTGTTCTTGTAATAGTCTCACAAGATCTGATGGTTTTGTAAATGGGAGTTCCCCTGAACAAACTCTCTCTTGCCTGCTGTCATGTAAGACATGCTTTTGCTTCTCTTTTGCCTCCCACCATGATTGTGAGGCCTCCCCAGCCATGTGGAACTATGTGTCCATTAAACCTCTTTCCTTTATAAATTACCCAGTATTGGATATGTCTTTATTAGAAGCGTGAGAACAGACCAATATAGCAGTTATCTCACGGCAGTTTATTAGGAATATCTTTCTTATTAGAATATGTTAAACATCTTCTCACACTATTAGTTCCTGTGAGGTCCGATTGTTAAAAAGAGCCTGGAACCTTCCTCCTCTTTCCTTTCCTTTATCTCTCGCCATGTGGCATCTGCACATGCTAGCTCCCCTTCTTCTGCCACAAGTGGAAGCACCCTGAGGTCCTCATCAGATGCAGATGCTGGTGCCATGCTTCTTGTACAACCTGAAAATCATTAGCCAAATAAACTTTTCTTTATTAAAAAAGCATATATTGAACATCTAAACTGATGCAATGTAATAAAACGTATTTAATTTAATCCTATTACCATTTTTTCTTTTCAATGTGTTCTTTGGGGTTAGCCAATTCCTTACCTTGAATGAGCATTCAGGAAGGCTTCATAACCTCTCTGATAATGTTTAAGTAAAAAAAGAAAGGTATTCAATTAGTCCCATTCAATAGTCAAATTTCTATATTTTATTCAAAACGGAGGCCTCACACTCTTGCTTATTCAAGAGTGTTGCAGATGAGAAGCTCACAAACAGTGAAGGTGCAAAATTAGCTTCTTTTGTTTCTACAGCTTGTGCTTCTAATTCTTCTACGTGATATAGTTTCAGACCCCTGCGAGTTGAGGCATGAAGAGCAGAAGAGGACAGTTTTTACTTGCCTGATATTTCATGTGCTTGAATTGAATGCTGTAGGGAAAACAGATGCATAAGAAGACTCTATTGTGAACATTTTCATGAATTCTTTGAGAATCCACACTCCCCTAGTTCAGAGCCCGGTGAGGGCTACTGCATCTCCATTCTCATGGAATTCTCAGTCACTAGGCACTCTGGAATACTAGCAGCCTCTTTCTTCTATGATCTGTTTCTCTTGGAGGCTGCCTTGAGATACTAAGACAAGCAGACCCCAGACCTTTCCCTTACTTTTGGTCTATGTCGATTGCCAAGGAAAGATGAATCTCTTTCCTTCTGGAAGTCAGGCAAATCCTAGTGTAGCTACTTGTTCTTTTCTCTGCTTGAAAATGGTACGTGAGTGCTAGGAAGGCAAGAGTGTGGTCCCTTTAAATGATAGGGAAGCAGGGAGCAGAAGTGCTGGGTAGAGGAGGGTATGGTCCCTGGCTAGGGCTCCATCCCCACGGACCTAGGTGAGAACAGGCATTCCCTGTCCAAATGTTGCATTTCCCAAGACCACTCTGGCCTGCCATGTCCCATCCTGTGCCTATAAAAACCTGAGACCCTAGCAAGGCAGGGACAGAAGCTGCTGGACGTTGAGAGAGAGCACATCAGCAGAGGAACACACCCACTGGGGCTTCAGGAGCTGTAAACATTCACCCCCAGACACTGCTGTGGGATCAGAGCCTCACAGCCTGACCATCTGTATGCTCCCCTGGAGGTCTGAGCAGCGGGCACTGGAGAAGAGAGCCACATCGCACTCCCTGCAAGGGGAACAAGGGAATTTTTTCTGTTTCAAAAACATGTAGCTAAGTTGACTCTTGGACTTCAGCATTCTTCAGCATACCCCAGGTACCAATCTACTGAATTGTCCAAACTCTGGAATATGTATGTACATTAAACTCTCCAAGAGGTCTTTTCATAAGAAGGTTTTTAAAATTTGAAATTCATTATTCACTAAAAATATTTTTGGCTGGGCGTGGTGGCTCACACCTGTAATCCCAGCACTTTGGGAGGCTGAGGCAGGCAGATCACCTGAGGTCAGGAGTTCGAGACCAGCCTGGCCAACATGGTGAAACCCTGTCTCTACTAAAAATACAAAAATTAGCCAGGTGTTGTGGTGCATGCTTGTAATCCCAGCTACTTGGGAGGCTGAGGCAGGAGAATCACTTGAACCTGGGAGGCAGAGGTTGCAGTGAAATGAGATTGCACCACTGCACTCCAGCCTGGGCAGCAGAATGAGACTCTGTTTAAATATATATATACATATATACATATGTGTGTATATATATATTTGAGAAAACTGCTTTGTGCCAGAAAGTGTTGGAGGTACTAAAGATACAACAGAAATAAGGCAGAAAAAATTATTCCTGTCCTCATGGGACGTATATTTTAGTGGTGCAGGAACAGATCATAGACAACATTTTAAAAGGTACATTAGTTAGTGTATTAGTCATCTGTTGTCACAACAATGCTGCATTACAAACAACACAAATCACCAGTGGCAGATAACAATATGCTTATATGTCTGGGTCAGCTAGGTGGCACTGCTAACCTTGGCCAAGCTCACCTATGTATCCAAGGTGGACTCTTCTTCACATGCCTCTCATCCTCTTCTTAGGGCCGGTGGACTTGCCTAGAAATGTCCTTATGGCAATGCAGAAGCAAGCAAAATGTTAGCTCCAATACATACGCCAATTTCAAGGCCCAGAGTGTGTGACATTTGCTAATAACTCCTTGGCTGTAGAGGAACACATGGTTAGGCCTAATGTTGAGAGGCAATTCAAGTCACCCATCCATAATGGGAGAGCATAGTAAAGTTAGATTGCAAAGGGCGTGGATATAGGGAGGGATGATGAATTAGGATCATCATCATAATCTATTAGAGTCCACTTTTATTGCTACAATTTTTCATATTCTTCCAATATGAAAAATATGCTTACCCCTAATCTGGGATCACCAGAAGTCTCATGCAATCATGGCATCAGCCATCAAGTTCAAAATCTCACAATCAGGATGCAGGTCAGAATGCAGTTCTCCTTAATCCAGAAACATACTGATAGAGCTGGAGCCCTGTCATCTCGGACAAACACCGCCACTTTAAATTCCAGCTCCCTTTCTAGCCTCATGCATTTCAAGGAAATCACTTCTCTTCTAACTACAAATAGCCAGAAAGAGCAGACAGTAAAACACAGATAAGAGAGTTTGGGCACAGAGAAAGGTTGGGGGAAGGTACCCTGGGTAACTGCCAAACTTCACCCTCATACAATGGGCCCTAAAACAGTGGGCCTTAATAAGCACATTCCTTTCCCTTCAGGTGCACTAAGATAGGGAAGCTAAAAGCAGACTCTGGGGATATGCCTGCAGCTGCAAAAAAGATGTATGGGAACAGACACACAACTCTCCCTCCTAGATAAGCACAACAAAGAGACACAGAAGCAGTCCAAGCCTTGGATAAACTCTCCCACTCTGAATCCTTAAAAAACTTAGTCTATAAGAGAGCGTGCCTCTGACCTAACTCGGCCAGAAGGCGCCTCTCAGGTTTGTTTTCTCTAAAATAAGTGTGCCGTGACTGGTGAGCCACCTTTTCATGTGTTTCTTTCCTCTTTCTTTCTCTTTCTTTCTTTTTCTTTCTTTCTTTCTTTCTTTCTTTTTCTTTCTTTTTTTTTTTTTTTGTTTGTTTTGAGATGGAGTCTCACTCTGTCGACTGAGTGCAGTGGCGCCACCTCGGCTCACCACAACCTCTGCCTTCTGGGTTCAAGTGATTCTCCTGCCTCAGCCTCCTGAATAGCTGGGATTACAGGCGCGTGCCACCATACCTGGCTTATTTTTTGTATTTTTAGTAGAGACACACGGTTTCACCGTGTTAGCCAGGATGGTCTCCATCTCCTGACCTCATGATCCACCTGCCTCAGCCTCCCAAAGTGCTGGAATTACAGGCCTGAGCCACTGCGCCCGGCCTCCTCTTTCGTTAATTCTAAGACATACAAGCCACAACAATAGAAACAAAGTTGTCTTTCCATCAGCACTCAATACACAGTGCTGAAACTGGGTCAGGATAATGATAGTAAACATGCCCATTCAAAAACGGAAAGAATGGGGGACTGAACAGTCACTGATCCCTGGCAATTCTGAAATTCCACTGAACAAATGCTGCCTTGCACATCCCCTCTAGGGGTGGACAATATTCCTTGGTTAGCCCCTGACTCCTTTCCTTGGGAGTTTCTCATTAGTCTACCTGTCCTCAGAATTCTATGCTCTTCCCTTTGAAAAGTACTTCCTTTTCTGTTTCCCTCCTTGGCCACCTTTAAAGAGCACATAGGATGATCGGCACTTTGAACAACTTTCTCAGCCTGTTTCTTTTACATAGAGAGTTGCAGATCCATTGCCCTTTTACATTTTAAACCTCAGTCTCTTTCAGTCCAGACTGGTGGCAGTTTTACCAATACAGCTGAATAAAAAATGTTGTGAGTTTTTTATATATTTGATCCCATGATACTCTGAATGCCAACAGCCTCACCAACAATTTTTTGGGAGACACAAAGCTCTTTCTAGACTTAATCACTTAGCACAAAAGAGCTTTAAATTAACTCTATTTAACCATATATTCATAAATATCAAGGAATATATAGTAAAGAAAAAGATTTACAATCTAAAAAAGAATATGAATGTGGAATCTTTTAGATATGGAATCTAAATAAAAGAAATCAGAGTACATCATCTAAAATTAAAACTTAATGGTTGAATTTAACAGCAGACTGGTCACAGGCAAATGCAGTAGTAGTTAACTTGAAGACAGTTAGAAATAGAAAGCATCTACTCTGAAGCATAGCACAAGATAAAATGAAGAAGAAAGATATCAGCATCAGAGACATGTAGGCATTATCTAATGGTCAAATATACTTACAATTGTACATAAAAATAAAGGATAAAGAGTGCAGCAGAGAAAACAAAAAGATAATGGCAGAAAATTTTCCAAAACTGAAATAAAGATGTCAAAACACAGATACAAGAAACTTATCAACCTCAATCATAGACTAGTGAAATAAAACCATATGTAAAAAAAAATAATAAATTGCTCAAAAACAAAGATAAAGAGAAAATGTTTAAATCAGCCAGAGACGAAAGTGTCTTGTCTTTGGAAAAAAAGAACAAAAAAGGTTAAGGCTGACTTTCAATAGAAACTTTGGAATCTGGAGGAAAATGGAATGAAACCTTAAAATACGCTAAGAAAACTTCTACCCCTAACGCAAACCTAGAATTCTAAAATCAGTAAAACATCCTTCAACAACAAAGCTGAAGAGGATCTTTCTGTGACGGCCAAGTTGGAATAAGCCCACTATAGTCTGTGTCTTACACTAATTATAATGGGAAACATCAGGCAGAATATAAAAGGCAGCCATCTGTGGACCTTGAAAAGTACAAAATAGCATGAATATTAGGGAGGGAAGTCAGAACTTGGAGAAATAATAGTAAGGGAGTGAGTTCCTAGGGTTTTTCCTCTTTTGTCTCCTGGCTTTGACTTGAAGGTAACTCCAGACATGTAGTGTGCAGTGAGAGCAGAGAGAAGAAACTCCAAGAGACACCTCCTCTTTCTGTACAGATTGCAAAGGGGGTCTCCAGAGAGTGTGTGGAGCAATACTCCTTTTTTGGAACTTTACTTCTTTTTTCACTTCTAGTTCTTCCCTGAGTGTGGTCAGAATCAGGAAGCTGTACTAAGGCTGCTGTGGTGGAACCATCAAAAACTCTGAAAGAAAAATCCCAAAAGAACTAGGGAAAAGGAACCCTGTGGCCTAAGGAATATGGGGTATTTCCCTTTATATTTTTGCTCAACTTTCTCTTCCCACTTTGCCTCAAGGGAAGCCCCAGGTGTGCAGAATCACATGACAATACTTTGAGAGAAACCAACCTTTCTGGCCAGAGGAACGGGTAAGAGGGACCTATGGGAACTGGAGAGTGTGGGAAAAATCTCAGAGGAGAGAGTGAGAGAAAGGGATCCCTAATTCTATACATGAACCATCATAACTCTCAGGGTCTTGGGCTCCCCAAGCCGCACATTAGGGGGACAGTTTCACACCAGCATATCAAAGCCATTAGGAGCTGAACTATGATACAAATATCACAGTCCTAGTGCCAGACTAGTGGCTGAGAGGCCCAGGCACAGGGCAGGCACGAACAGCATGGCAAAGTCTTGGGAAACTATAATGACGTTAGAACTACGGCATACAGAAAGCGAGATACAGCTTGCATTCTAAACTTGATGAGATTAGTTCTTGCTAAAACAAAAAATTCAACCTTCTCCTAGAATTTTAATGGGACCCAGAGCTCACAGTGTGATACAATCATGCACCACATAATGACATTTCAGTCAAGGAAGGAACATGTATAGGTTGGTCATCACGAGATTATAATGGAGCTGAAAATTTCCTATCCCTATATAATAGCCATTGTAACATTGTAGCATAATGCATTACTCACACGTTTGTGGTGATGCTGGTGCAAACAAATCTCCTGTGCTGCCAGTCACATAAAAGTATAGCAGTACAATTATGTACAGTACACAATACTCAATAATGACAACAAATGACTATGGTACTGGTATATGTATATACTATACTATACACTATATAGATGCCCCCTTTTTTCAACCATTATAAGATCTAGTCTTTGTCTGTTTTGGAGGACTGCACCAGCTAAATGCATTTTATTGTTATTTTAGAGTGTATTCTTCCTTATAAAAAGAAAATTAACTGTAAAACAGCCTCAGGTAGATCCCTAAGGAGGTATTCCTGAAGAAAACGTTGTTATCATAGGAAGTGACAGCTCCATGTGTGTTTGTGTTATTGCCCCTAAAGGCCTTCCAATGGGACAAAATGGGAAAGTGCAAGACAATGATATTGATGATCCTGACCCTGTGTAGGCCTGAGCTAACGTGTGTGTTTGAACCTTAACTGTTTAGAAAAAAAAAGTATAAAAAGTAAAAGGTTTAGAAAAAAGTTTAAACATAAAGATATAGAGAAAGAAAATACATTTGTATAACTCTAAGTGTGTTTGTGTTTTAAGCTAAGTGTTATTACATGAGTCAAAAAGTTTATAATAATTCAGAAAGTTTATAAAGTAAAAAGGGTACACTAAACTAAGGTAAATTCATCATTGAAGAAAGATTTTTTTTTCTGTAAGCTTAGTGTAGGCCGTGTACAGTCTTTACGAAATACTTAATGGTGTACAATAAAGGCCTAGACCTTCATTCACTCACCACTCACTCGCTGATTCACCCAGAGCAACTTCCAGTCCTGCAAGCTCCATTCATGATAAGTGCCCTATACAAGTGTAGGAGTTTTTATCTTTGACAATTTCACAACACAATATAAAACAATTTGCTTAGATCCAGATTTGTTTTAGTCAACGTAAAATTCAAGAGAAAACAATTTTGATGAAGCTACTCAAAACCACACTTTCACATTCATGCCTTTTTCAATGCTTATCTGCAGGGGTGAAATCTGGACCAAACATATCCTTCTGAGCTGCAGGATACAAAAGCCTTATTTATTATTTTTAATTCTCTATTTTGCCACTTTTAGTAACTCACTATACCAATGATTCACTTCCCCTCCCTCTTTTTGTCTTCTCAGGGTATTTTATTTTTCCATGAAATACCTACTTCTTCCTCATTGTCTTGCTTTGTGTTATACACAAGAGGCCTACCATATTCAATTTCCGAACTTTACTAACTTTAATATATATAACTTGCCACAAAACATCACTGGTGATGTTCTTCTTGAGGCTTTGCCACCATAAAACTTCTTCACAAAGAGTCCCATGGTTCAAAAGAAGATATTTTTGCTATTTTTCTCTGTCCTGCTCTTACACATATGCTTCATATAACCTTTTAATCTTGAACTTAGACTAGGTCCTTTAATGAAGCTGCTATGGAGCAGAATCACCATAATCACCATAATCCTTAACAACAATTAATTTTTTCCCTAAAGTCCACATCTTTGAAGGGAATTGGATCTTAAATTTATATTAGTAAAAAGGTTCTTCACCTCTCTTAAGTTTAAATACTTCATATGTCTTGAAAGATAAATTTCTCAGAGTAAATTCAATTTGTATTTCTTATCCTGGATTTCTATCCAGTAGAGCGATCAACAACTTGTATTGCTATTCTTCAGCTCATGACTGAAGAGTAAGACTTTCATAATTGAGGATTTAATAGTAGCGTTTCTTTTAGACTGACACATAACTTAAGCACAGAGTTGCATAAACATGTATATAGAGTTTAATAAAAATTAATGACGCAGACTAAAAAGCTTATCCAGCTTCCTAGAAGCCCTCTGTGTGCACCTTCTACCTACCATCTTTCCCTTGGAGGAAAACATTACTCTGATTTTGTGCTAATTATTTACTTTTTAAAAATGTGTGCATGGTCCTAAATTTTATATAAATAAAATAATTTATTGGATTTGTTTCTTTCCTTTGATAAATATTGCTTTTACGAGATTCACCTTTTTTTTATGTGTAGTTGTGCATACACACGTTAGGGTGGCTATTATTCAAAAGGAAAAAAGAGAATATAAGTGTTGGTGTGGATGTGGAGAAATTGGAACCCTTGTGCCTTGCTAGCAGGAATGTAAAATGATGCAGCTGTTGTGGAAAAAGGTAGAGCCATATCTCAAAAACTTTAGACATACAATTATCATATGATGCCATGATTCCACTTCTGGTCATATATCCAAAAAAACTGAAAGCAGAGACTTGAACATACATTTGTATACCCATGTTCATAGCACAAACATTAACGGTAGCCAAAAGGTGAAACAAACAAACAAACAAACAAACAAATCTCCATCAATGGATGCCTGGAAAAGCAAAATGTGGTATAAACATACAATGGAATATTATTCAGTCTTAAAAAGGAAGGAAATTCTGAAAATATACTATAACTCAGATGAAATGTAAAGACATTATGCTAAGTGAAATAAGCCAGTCACAAAAAAGGCGGATATTGTATGATTCTACCTTATGAAACCACCTTGAGTGGTCAGAGACAGAAAGTAGAATGGTGGTCACTAGTGGCTGGGAGGAGGAGGGAATAAGGAGTTGTTTATGGTTACAGAGTTCCAGTTTGGGATGAGGAAAAGTTCTGGAGATCTGTGGTGGTTATTGTGTACAACAGTGTGAATGTATTTAATGCCACTGAACTGTACACTTAAAAAGGTGAAAATGATGAGTTTTAGTTTATTTCTATTTTCCCACAATTAAGGAAAGAAGGAAGGAAGAAAGAAAGAGAGAGAGAGAGAGAGAGAGAAAGAAAGAAAGGAAGAAAAGAAAGAAAAAGAAAGCAGCGTTAATGCTTAGAATTGGTGTAAAGATGTATAAGACTAACAAGTTTAAGCAAAAATGATGTTCAGTGTAGACCACACTTGGTTCCCAGAGTTTGGGCATTGAAACTGGAGTCCCAAGTACAGATTATATAAGTCATACCCTTAGATAACATTTATTTGAGGCCTATGTATGTCATAAAATAGTCTAAGTGTTTTATATGTATGACATCGTGGGTCCTCTCAACAACCTACTTTGTGGTTACTAAAGGATTACATTGCATGTAAATATAAAATACTATATTAATGAAATCTTAGTTAATCTACAAAGTTCCACAAAATAAAAACAACCTAAATTATAATGTTGTCAATAATCATAATTTATGAGCTTGAGCATGGAGTAAATTTAGATTGTGTTTATACTTCCACCAAATGATGCACATCCATTTTCCTAGTTCACGGTCTCTATCTCTCCTTTCTCATTTATGTTAATCCAAATAGTGATACACACAGTGTTATTGTAAGAGTTAAAGAAAGAGGAAAGAAACACAAAAAGTGGCTCAACAGTCAAAGACAGGTTTATTTTGGAGAATAAACCTGAGAGGGCTGCTGTCTGATTTCAGTCAGGAGCCCTCTCTCTTACAGACTAAGAGTATTTAAGGGTTTGGGGCAAAAGGCTTGAATGTTTCTGTGTGGAGGAGAACTTTATTGTGGGGTTGGAATGTCTCTGGTTGGAGGGGAGGTTATCTTGGGGTTGGCATCTCTCCGGTCAGAGGGGAGGTTATCTTGGGGCTGGTGTGTCTCTGGTTGGAGAGGGGTTTATCTCAGGGTTGGAATGTTTCTGGTCAGAGGTATCATTTGTGGTTTAAGGTCATGCTGCCATTAGCCATTAGGCTGATGCCCTTTGGGTTGGATTTAGGTGGCTTTTGATCAAGGGGAACTTTAAAATGGTGGTGCTTGTCCAAGATGGCAATGCTCCTGCTCTGTCAATCCAGATCCTATAGTTATAAAAGGATGAGGACGGTGTGTTCTTTCTGGCTAATTCCTGCTGAGAGGAGTGTGGAGAGTTTTCTGGTCTCGGATTGACTGTAGGAGTAATGCCATCTGTAGATGTTTTTGGGTAGTTGTCTGTGAAATGGCCATGATCCTGTTGGTTAAAAATCTTTGAAAAAGATTAATTAGGCAGGGTAAGAACACTAGTCCTAGGCATATCATTAGGAGAGGGCCCAGGAATGGGGTGACTCATGCTATGATTTTGTTCCCAAACCAAGAATCTATTTGACTGTGTTGGTATTCCCTTAGCTTTTTAGCCCTTTCTTTAAGTTTTTCGGCAGCACCTCTTACTGGGCCCGACTGGTTGAGACAGAAACAACTTTCCTCACCCAGTGAGAGGCAGATGCCCTCTTTTTCAACCATTATAAGATCTAGTCTCTGTCTGTTCTGGAGGACTGCACCAGCTAAGGAGTCTAGTTGGTCTTGGACTCTTACAAGGCTTCAGGCTATATCTTCTAGAGATCCCTGTAGTTCTGTTGAAAGAACCTTAAAGTATGTGGCTAATCCACCTGCTCCCTCTCTAAGTCCAGAGCTTATACCCAAGGCGGCCATTAAGGAATGATGTGGATGGCTCTCCTTTTCCTAACATATTGGGTGGATGGGATAGACAAAGGTTGATGAGGAGGAACTAGTCCAATGGAAGGGGAAAGATAAACTAGAGAACAGGTTCCGGTCCGGTTGGTGGGGAGACAAAGATATGTGTTGGTGCCACACAAAAAGAACAAGCCTTTGTCGTAAATACAGGCAGAGATATGGAAAGAGAATAAGTGTGTTAAAAATTGGATGTTGTTTCTTTCCTGCGGTTCATTACTCCAGATGGACAAGGAGGAGGCCAGAGAGACATCCACTATAGTAGAGATATAGCAAGAGTTATTTTTTACACGTTTAATGTGATCAGATGTTGCATCATTGACATTGAGCCATGGAAAAAGGTGGGAACCAGGGACAGCACAAGTTAGTTCAGAGGCATTGGTTAGGGGATAGGCTGTAAAACAAGCCAGATGCAGAAACATTCCATTTGCTTCAGGTGATACTTGGTAGTCAGCTTGGTTAGTCTGATGGTTAGAGGGGTGTTTAATAATGATAGTGCGGTTGCATTGGTTAGGTGTGAAGGATCCTACAGGGAAATTTCCTTCAGAGGCTGAAAAGCAAAGTGAGGCTTATTGTAAAAGGAGGGAGTGTTTAGTTATAGGCCCTCCAACGGGGGTGCCTTGGGGCTTGAAGCATTGTAGGGAGTTGTAATAGGTTTGAAATAATTTGTTAGCCTGATTGGCCCTGGAAGTGGGATAATCGCCGACCACAGTCGCAGTGCAGTGCTAATATTATCAATTATTAGTGTCTCTGCAACTTCAGTATCTCTTATTATTCTAATTCTACTAACTATTCTCGAGTTCGCTGTCGCTCTTATTCAAGCTTATGTCTTCACACTATTAGTAAGTCTTTATTTGCATGATAATACATAATGACCCGCCAAACTCATGCCTACCATATAGCTGTACCTAGCCCTTGACCACTAACAGGAGCTCTCTCGGCTCTCCTAATAACATCTGGCCTGGCCATATGATTTCACTTTAATTCTACCACTCTTTTAACTTTAGGCCTACTAACCAACACACTGACTATACATCAGTGATGACGTGATGTTGTCCGAGAAAGTGTATTACAAGGCCACCACACAACAATTGTCCTAAAAGACCTCTGATACGGGATGCTTCTATTTATTATCTCAAAAGTATTCTTCTTCGCTGGTTTTTTTCTGGGCATTTTATCACTCCAGTTTAGCACCGACCCCAGAATTAGGAGGACATTGACCCCCAACAGGTATTCTTCCCCTGAACCCTTTAGAAGTATCTCTCCTAAATACGTCTGTATTACTTGCATCAGGAGTTTCAATTACTTGAGCCCACCACAGCCTAATAGAAGGTAACCAAAAACAAATAATTCAAGCAGTACTTATCACGATCCTCTTAGGAGTCTATTTCACTCTTCTACAAGTCTCAGAATATTTCGAGGCCCCCTTTATTATCTCTGATGGAATCTATGGCTCAACATTCTTTGTAGCCACAGGCTTTCATGGACTTCATGTTATTATTGGATCAACAATTCTCACCATCTGCCTTCTTGCCAATTAAAATTTCATTTTAAGCCCGGCATGGTGGCTCATCCCTGTAATCCCAGCACTTTGGGAGGCCAAGGTGGGCAGATCACCTGAGGTCGGGAGTTCGAGACCAGCCTGACCAACATGGAGAAACCCCATCTCTACTAAAAATACAAAATTAGCCGGGCATGTTGGCGCATGCCTATAATCCCAGCTACTTGGGAAGGCTGAAGCAGGAGAATTGCTTCAAATGATCGTCCCTCTTCATCCTCCCAAAGTGCTGGGATTACAGGTGTGAGCCACCACACCCAGCCCAGCTTTGTTAATTTTTCTGTTTGCTGGTTTTCTGTTTCATTGTTGTCTGGTTTCATTTTTATTAATTCCTTCTTTCTTTTATTTGTCTTTGCCACATTTAATCATTTCTTTTTTTTATTTATTTTACTTTAAGTTCTGGGATACATGTGCTCAACATGCAGGTTTGTTACATAGGTATACATGCGCTATGGTGGTTTGCTGCACCAGTCAATCCATCATCTGGGTTTTAAGACCTGCATGCATTAGGTATTTGTCCAATGCTCACCCTTTTCTTTCCCTCCACTCCCCAACTGGCCCCGGTTTGTGATGTTCCCCTCCTTGTGTGTTCTCATTGTTGAGACATGTGAGACTTGGATATGTACTCTCATTGTTCAACTCCCACTTATGAGTGAGAACACGCGGTGTTTCATTTTCTGTTCCTGTGTTAGTTTGCTGAGGATGATGGTTTCCAGCTTCGTCCATGTCCCTGCAAAGGACATGAACTCATTCTTTTTTATGGCTGCATAGTATTCCATGGTGAATATGTGCCACATTTTCTTTATCCAGTCTATCACTGATGGGCATTTGGGTTGGTTCCACATCTTTGCTTTTTAATTCCTTCTTTCTACCTTCTATCTTCTTTAGATTTAGTTTGCTTTCCTTTTTCTACCTTCTTAAGGTAGAAGCTCACACCATTGATTTTAAACTTCTCTTCAGTTCTGATGTATACATTTAAAGAAACTAATTTCCCTTCAAGCACTCTTTCAGCTTTATCTCATACATTTTGATATAATGAACTTCATGATCATTCACTTAAAATATTCTCTAATTTTCTTTGTAATTTCCTCTTAGACCTATGGCTTATTTGGTAGTATGTTGATTAATTTCTGTATATTTAGGGGATTTCCAGGTTATCAGTTTGGTGCTGCTTTCTAATTTAGTTGAGGTATTTTTATTTTTATCTTTTTTGGTCAGAGAACATACCCTACCCAGTTTGCATACTGTTGAATTTCTTGAGACTAAATTTATGATCCAGTATGTTGTTCATCTTGATGGATATTTCATGTACACCTGAAATAATATGTATTTTGCCATTGCATATTCTAGTCTAATGTCTTATAAGTGTCAGTTAGGTTGATTTAATTATTAGTGCTATTCCACTGTTTAATATATTTTCCTGATTTTTTGTTCATTTCTTTTACCAATTATTGAGAGAAGCATTTAAAAATCTCTAATTACGATTGCAAATTTATCTATATTTTCATTTCTGTCAATTTTTGTATCATTTATTTTTAAGTCATATTATTAGATGCATACATATTTAGAAAAGTTATGTTCTTCTTATGGTTTTTCCATCATTATGACTCGTTTTATTTTTATTCCTGGTAAAACATATTTTTAATGAAGATTTTTTTTTGTTATTAATATGATCATACTGAATTTATTGTGATTTAGGTATTTGTGGTATGCATTCTTTCTTCTGGTTATTTTTTGCCTATCTGTGTAAAGAGCATGTATCTACCATTCTTTGAACATATTCTTATCTCTGACACCTGACACGTATCCATCATTCTTTTTTTTTTTTTTTTTTTTTTTTTTTGAGACGGAGTCTCGCCTCTGTCGCCCAGGCTGGAGTGCAGTGGCGCGATCTCGGCTCACGGCAAGCTCCGCCTTCCGGGTTCACCCCATTGTCCTGCCTCAGCCTCCCAAGTAGCTGGGACTACAGGCGCCCGCTACCACGCCCGGCAATTTTTTTTTTTGTATTTTTTAGTAGAGGCGGGGTTTCACCGTGTTAGCCAGGATGTTGTCGATCTCCTGACCTCGTGATCCGCCTGCCTCGGCCTCCCAAAGTGCTGGGATTACAGGCATGAGCCACCGCGCCCGGCCGTATCCACCATTCTTAAATATCCTTACTTTCTATGATCATCTTTTATTTTTTTTCTCAAGCTCTAGAATCTGTCATAGCTCTGGGTTCTTTTAGAAGAGTCTGGTTAAAAAGCTAGATCAAGATCTGTGTGTTAAGTGTGCTCATTGCTATGGGAATGTCAAAAGTCTAAGATCCTATTTGTGGACATACACATAAACATCTATACATTTATTTCTATAGCTACTTACTTATATTAAAAACCATATGTCTACGTCTAGCCTTTCTAGAAACAAAAATTATGAAATCTATAAAAATGACTTAAAAATTTGCAATCATTGGAGATCTTTTGAAGCATGCAGAATACATCAGGAGATAAATATTGAGAAAAGGAAAGTAACTAGGTGAGTTCAACGTTTACTGTGAGTTTCCCCTGAGAGTGCTTTTCAGTCTAAAGCAGTAGATGGTAGAACAAAGCTCAAGCAGAAAGATGCAGTCTTACCAGGAAGAGAAGACGGAGGTTGGAGTTTGGTGCCGAAAGAATTAGTTGCTATTGAGGAGAAAAATCCCCAAAAAACATGAAAACTCAAAGAGGGGCCCCTATTCTGCATGCAAATTTCTTTCAAATGCAGAATTTTGGGCTCTCCTCTGTGGTATTCTTATTTAGGATTTTCCACTCAAGTTCTACAAATAGTGCGCCACTGCACTCCAGTTTGGGCAACAGAGCAAGACTCTGCCTAAAATAAAATAAAATAAAAATTGTTTTAAATTTCCACAAATCTTAAAGACCTAAGTTCTGACATCTTTCTACTCAGTTACCATTAGGAGGGAGAAAAATATACTAAGAAAGGCAAGTAAAGAGGAATAAGAGAAAAAGAACAGATGGGCCAAAAACAAAAAGCAGCAAGGGGGTAGACTTAAATCCAGTACTTCAGTAATTACATTAAATGCATATTTCTAAACTGGATAAATAAGCAAGACTTTTGACCATACACTGTCCATAAGAAATGCATTTTAAGTATGAAGACACAGGTTAAAAATATAAGGATGAAAAAATATACACTGGGCAAGAAAGCTGGAGTGGCTACATTAATATCAGACAAAGAAAACTTTACAAATAAGGAATATTACTGGAGATAAATTTTTCATAATGAAAAAGAGTCAATACATCAAAAAGACATATAATCCTAAGTGTGTATGTACCAAATGCTATATACAGCTTATTTTCAAATTCACGTAGAAAATACATAAAAATATACCACATATATTGACATCAAAACATTTCAACGAATCTAAAAAGCAGTGAGAACATTGGACAAAGTTGCCAAAAACAATCATTTAAAGACTCTGGAAATTGACCAAAGGATACGAACATTGAGAAGCATTTAGTTAAGAGAATCTAAACTGAATCCTAATAAAAACAGCAAAATCAGTATTATTTTGGCCAGAGTATGCTTTCACCAACTTCCTTCACCCCAACTTATGGTGCAGAATTTCTACCTGTGTGGGAGGACAGGCCATGGGATTAAACAGCTCTTCTTAACCTGCCAGAGGGAGCTCACACACATTTTTTGGAAAAGAGCTCACGCACATGCATGCACACACACACACACACACACCCTCAAAATAACGTCTTGGCGTTTTGTAGAAAACAGCATAGACCTCAGGGCAAATAATTATGGAAGGCTAACATCTCAACTAGCTTGAAGTCATGATGGCAGGCCAGTCAGGAATTTTACCAGGGAGATCCAGAGAATGAGATAGTCAAAAATAGCCTTGCTAAAATCTCATTTATCCCCAGTGGTGTGGAAAGCTGTCTGCATCAGCTTGATTAAGCCTGCTCAGGAGACACCTGGCTGAATATAAGGACATGTGAAGGCAGAAAGTAAAAATTGGGACATACCTGTAAAGTCCCGGAACTTTGAAAGCATTTCCCACATCCCACTCAGTTCAATGGCAAAGTGTGGAAGCCTTACTGACTCAATTGTTTAAGCAGAATCTTTCATCAGTCATAGGCTGACATTAAGCTATGATGACCAGGGGTGATTGTAGGAAATCAGGCTTAATAATGAAAACAAAAATTATTAAACAAACTTAGCAGAGACACCATAGGCTGCATACTAGGGGGAAACAGACTTGGAAGAACTAGCCCAAGCAAGTCACTAACACAAACAACAAACAGCAAGAGCACTTACTCCTAGGGATTGTGGAATCAGAATTTATGTAAAATATCAATATTAAACAAAAATTACAAGACATGCAAAGAAACTGGAAAATTTTACCAACACATAATACATAGGAAAAAAAGAAGCCAACAGAACTTGTCTCTGAGGAGACAGGTTAAAATGATTTCATTTTAAATTGCTCTCATTCTTGAGCATAATGAAGAAACACTCTTTAAGGCAGGTGAGAAATAACTAAGCAGTTATCAATTAGAGTGTTCAAGTAGTGGTTCTGAGTCTTAAAAAAATAGGAGGGTGGGAAAGAAAGTACAAAAGAAATCAGATTCCTGTTTTAACTACCTTGGAACACATAAAATTGTGAAAATATGTTGAGAAAGTTCTATCTATACAGCCATCTCCAACTGCTGTATAATAGGTGTGCCGGAAAAATAGAAAAAATATAGGATACAATAAAAAATCAAAGTTTTTTTTTTTCTGAAGGAAAGGAAGACTTTAGTCTCTGGCTAGATAAGATTCATGCAATTTAAAGGAATCAAGTGGAATCATGAAAATATACAAATAGTTCTGTAGCTGTAGGGATGAAAATTTTTACTACACAATCAGAAAATAAAATGGTAATAAAAATGATCTATTGGCTTCCAAGAAGGAAATAAACAGTTTACACATAAAAGGACGAGAACCAGACTGGAATCAAATTTCTTATCTCAAATATCAGAAGCCAGAAAACAATGAGAGGGAAAAAAGGCTGCCAACTTAACACATGGGGAAGCAGTGTGTTGGCAGGAAAGGCAGTGTAAGAGAGGAGGTTTGTACAGGGAGATGGAAGAGACAATGGAGAGAAGACAATCTGAGCAGAAGCTGTGAGGAGTAGATAGATACTAGGGAAACGGAATGCTAACGATGGCGTTATTTTAAAACTAACCTTGTGCGGCATATTTTAAAATTATCATTCCCACACCCTCATTGCATTGTAAAAATTTTGGATTAATATTTTGTTTATCTTTTGGTGTAGAACTGTGCTAAAGGACACGGATTCTATACTACTGGAAGAAGTTCAAGGTTCTTGTTTTAGGAGGACATGGACAGCTGTAGGGATGTTAACTGGGTCATGTTCACCAGTAGGTGGGGACATTGCACTTTAGAAATTCAAGGGAGCTGCCGCTTTCCCTTTTTTCCTTGCCCCTTGGCAGGTCTGGATTTGAGGGGTCAGGATTCCTTGAGGGTGGTAACACAGCCACTCTTATTTCCCGTACTCGTCCTTCCATGTGTTCAGAATATGATGCAATCTGAGATGCAGTTTTGGATGTTTGAGAAGCAAAGAAGCATGGCTGGAGCAGGAGTTAAAGTCTGCTTTTGTTTGAGAACTGAGGAGCTCAGTCTTTTACATGCTCTCACAGGTAAGAGATTGGTACTATAAAATTACATGCTTAAAACAAACTTCACTGCTGTCATTCTAGTGCAAGCCACTATCCTTTTTCACATTGAACATTCCGCCACCATCTGCAGCATTCTTGATATTTCAGTAAGAATGATATTTTACTTTACAATTACTATTTTAAATGTATTGGGATATCAGTATATAGTTTGAAGATTAAACAATAGAGATGTATTTTAATGAAAACAAGAGCCCTTCACGCCATTCCTTTCCTCCACTGTCATTATCCCCAGTTCAATGACTTTAACAGTAATATGCGTATGTTTTTGTATGTGGGGGTATTAATTTAGACATCCATTGACTTCCTGTTATGAAACCAGATAATTTAAACCACCAAAAATTAGGTCTCTGACATCTTTCTTGTGATTTTATTATCTTACTATGTTTAGTTCCTCCGTAGGTAATCCCTGCATTTTTTATTTTTTATTTATTTATTTATTTATTTATTTTTGAGACAGAGTCTCGCTCTGTCCCCCAGGCTGGAGGGCAGTGGCGCGACTGGCTCACTGCAAGCTCCGCCTCCCGGGTTCACGCCATTCTCCTGCCTCAGCCTCCTGAGTAGCTGGGACTACAGGCGCCCGCCACCACACCCGGCTAATTTTTTTTTTGTATTTTTAGTAGAGATGGGGTTTCACCGTGTTAACCAGGATGGTCTTGATCTCCTGACCTCGTGATCCGCCCGCCTTGGCCTCCCAAAGTGCTGGGATTACAGGCGTGAGCCACCGCGCCCGGCCAATCCCTGTATTTTTAAACACAGTACTCTATTATTCTGTCAGTTATATTCAAGATCTCTTGAGTTTTCTCCTTGTAGATGAAGCTACTGCTAACCCTATTCTTTCCTGCTCTACTTTTTTCCTTATTTCATATCCCAACTTCTGGCATTTATAATTTATCTTTAATATTTTCAAACCCGATAGTATTTATGGTTTGTTTGTAACCAGGTATTTTTTAAACACGTATGTGCTCATTATTGAGAATATATTTCCTTTGTTGGGCATCTTTTAATTTTTATGAAGGTTCTATTTGCAATTTCTTTTCCCTCATATATGTAGTCTACTTTTTAATCATATCCTCAGATGTTTTGAATATCTCAACAATACTGTAAAATTTATGGGATCATACTTATCATGTTTATCCACTTCCTGGTGCCCTTAGTTCTCTAGTTTCAATCTAAAAGAAATGATTTCCAGGACTGCTGAGCAGATGTCATCTTGGGATTCTCTTCATTGTTTTCTTTGGTAGAAGATAATGTTTCAGGTATCTGATATCTTCCTCTTACTTGCTTTGACTACCTAATTTTGCTACGACACACCGTCTGTTAATATCCAAAAAAGGATATTCTGGAAGCAAATTTTTCTAATCTTTGCATGTCTGAGAATAATTTTTATTCTAGATTCATGCCTGAATGAAATTTAATGGGTTTATAAGTATGGGTCTAGTCAGGAGAGAGAGGAAATCACACAGTAATGTAAAATGAGAAAGATCAATATAAAGAAATACGAATCTTAACAAGAGATCTGAGTAATAAGAGATTGGCTAGAAAGAAGTAAAGAGAACTCTAAATAATATAGCAGTGGCAGATATAATAGTGCATAATATAATATAATACGAAATGGCTACTTCCCTAGTGTATTAGTCAGGGTTATCTAGAGGGATAGAACTAATATGATAGATGTATGTATAAAGGGGAGTTTATTAAAGCGTGTTGACTCACATGATCACAAGGTGAAGTCCCACAATAGACCGTCTGCAATCTGAGGAGCAAGGAAGCCAGTCCGAGTCCCAAAACCTCAAAAGTAGGGAAGCTGACAGTGCAGCCTTCAGTCTGTGGTTGAAGGTCTCAGAGCCCCTGGCAAGGGAGAAAAATGAAGGGTGGAAGACCGCTAGTCTAGTCCTTCTACGGTCCTCTGCCTGCTTTTATCCTAGTGGTGCTGGCAGCTGATTAGATGGTGCCCACCCAGATTGAGGGTGGGTCTTGCTTCTCCCAGTCCACTGACTCAAATGTTAATCTCCTTTGGCAACACCCTCACAGACACACCCAGGAACAATACTTTGCATCTTTCAATTCAATCAAGTTGACACTCGATATTAACCCATCACCTAGGTTAAGATAGAGTACCCAAGAAGGAGCCTTCTCCAGTTTTCTTTCCAAGGGTGAGGTCAGACCTTGTTAGGGAGGCACTTCCATGGCTCACTGAATGGCAGAGAGGTAGTTGTTGAACTGCTGCTCCAGCGGTAGTTTGCTGTAATCCACCCTCTGGGACTTGTCAGAAATCCTTCCTCTAGGGTGTTGGGGAAAGCTGTTCCTGTAAGGTTCATGGAAGTGGGGTGGTGGTGGTCACTCTCTGCTGTAAAACTGCTAAAGGGGGTGTGCATGCCTGACGAAGCTGCTGGGCGTTGCTGGCTGCTCTACACTGCAAAAGCTGGGTGCTGAGGAAGCCGCAAGAGTCTGATGTTGTAGAAGCCAGGTGAGAACTTGCCAAAATTAATGACAGACAACGAATCACCGATTACAAATCTAGGAGAATACCAAGCAGGATTAAAAAAACAAAAACAACCTACACTTAAGTATATTATATTTAAACTTTAAAAAGTTGAAATACATAAATACTGTTTAGAAAAGCAAAGAAGGGTGAGAAAAGTACAAGTTATTACATTTTATGTATTTCTTAAAAATGGATATAACAGGTAGATATTTGTTGATATGTATTACAAAAGTTGGACAACATAGTCATGAAATATATTTAGATACTTTAAATACATATATTACACAAGGGAAGAAATAAAGTACTACTCAAATCAATAAGAAAGAGTTAAATAACCTAATAGCAATGTTGGAAAGTAGGTGAACAGGCAATTCACAGAAGAACTCAAATGGCAAATAGCGTATGCAAAGATGGTCAACTTTCTCTACAATATTTGACACAGAAACATTATGTCATTTCAGTTTAAATATAATTACACATTCACAAAAATTGGGGAGCACACCTTTGAAGGGTTACTAATAAATTGTCTAGAAACATTGTTCTAAAAGCTGATGTGGTTTTGGAAGACCAAGTGTGAATATTCAAAGGCACTTTCATTTGTTGAGCAAAACACCAAGTGGAGAAATTGAAGATCCCTGATTGCGAAAGGATCCAAGTGTTTAGAGCAGAACTGAAATCCCGAATAATGGTCCTCTCCATGTAGCAGGCAGAGAATGTGACTAGTGGAAAACAGAGGTTTATGTAAACAAAAGCAGCCTAGATTTGGACATCAAATTCATCAATTAATGTATCCATTCATTTGTCAAATAATTATTTAGCTCCTACTAAGTGCTATGTACTATTCCAGATAAAATAGTCAGCAAGGTAAAAATGTCCCTACCTTTATGAGTTTTAATTCTAGCAGGAAAGAAAAAATAATCACATAATAAACAGATATGCAGTATTAGGTGGTGATTCTTGCTATGAAGATACAAACGAAGAAAGCTGAGTAAGGGGATAGAGAAACAAGGGCTTACCAGTAGTAAATTTCCATGCAAACTGTGGCAGGCTAATTTCAAAATCAGAAATATTTTATTATAGTTTTTCTTGGGTTATTAGTGTCAGACATAAGAAAAGTGCAGTAGATTTACTACCACAGATTTTTGCACTTGTACTTATTTTGAATGAAATGTACTGTCAAAGAACGAAGCAGGTGGACTGGGCTTATATCCTGTCTCCTTGTAGTAGAGAATATTGAGTCTGATGTGCAGACCAGCAGATCCTTTGTGTATCACCTGCACCACTCCCTCATCCCCTCCATAAGCTCACATCAGGAGTAGCTATGTTCATGTACTGTAATGTGAACTCATCCCCTGGCAACACTTTACTGGTGTACAGTAAGCAACTGACTGGTCTAGGAAAAGAAGCCCTAGGGCAAAGGAGAGATGAATTGAGAACATCTTGGCAGGGACCATTTTGTACTATGTGAATCTGAAAGCAGAGATATAGAAAATAATGAAGATGACAGGCAGAGAAAATTAGAGATAAGAAATACACAGAGGATTTCTTGTATAACACACAGTGTACTATCCTTAGATCAATCCTTTTACATATCTTCTTTGGCTTCTGTGAGTTAGCCCTTTGTTATGATAACAAATTTTATCTTTTTGATGAATCTAACTCAGCCACTTGTGTTCCCCATGATGACATGCTCTCACGATGGCTCTGATTTATTTAACATACAGATGAAGATCATGAGTGTGGATTTCCGAAATGCAGTCAGTGGACTCAATTACTGTTTGTTGAGTCCATGAGCAGATATGACTAACAAAGATCTGTGCATATGGGGATTGAAGGGTTTTTTTTTGTTTTTGGATAGAGTTGGTGAAGAAATTAAATGAAAGTATACGATATTCCATGGCCAAGAATTTCAAATAATAAAGTGTTTATATGAGATGTTTGGGCTTTAATATGGGAAGTATGTGTATGGGATGTGTGGGCTCTAATTTGTTTAAATTGTGTTTATTACTAATATTTGTGGGCACATAGTAAGTGTATATATTTATGAGGTACATGAGATGTTTTGAAAAAAAGGATGCAATGTGAAACCAGTAAATCATGAAGAATGGGCATCCATACCCTCAAGCATTTATCCATTGAGTTGCAAACAATCCAGTTACACTCTTGAAGTTATTTTAAATGTATAGTTACTATTTACTATAGTCGTCCTGTTTTGCTATCAAATAGTAGATCTTGTTCATTCTTTCCAATTTTTTCCCATCAACCATCCCCATATCCCTCCCTCCCTGATCCCCCACTACCTTTCCAACCTCTGGTAATCATCCTTCTACTCTCTATGTTCATAAATCCAATCATTTTAATTTTTAGATCCTACAAATAACTAAGAACATGTGATGTTTGTCTTTCTGTGCCTAGCTTATTTCACTTATGGAACTGCCATGCCGGTTGCTGCAAATGACTGGATCTCATTCTTTTTTATGGCTGAATAGTACTCCATTATGTATATGTGCCACATTTTCTTTATCCATTCAACTGTTGATGGATACTTTGATATACTGACTTTTTTTTTCTCTTCAGTATATACCCAGCAGTGGGATTGCTGGATCATATGAGAGCTCAATTTTTAGTTTTTTGAAGAACCTCCAAACTGTTCTCCATAGTAGTTGTACTAATTTACATTCCCACCAATAGTGTCCAAGTGTTCTTTATTTCACATCCTTCCCAGCATTTGTTATTGCCTGTCTTTTGGATATCAGCCATTTTTAACTGGAGTGAGATGATACCTCATTGTAGTTTTGATTTGCATTTTTCTGATGATCAATGATGTTGAGCACTTTTTCATATGCCTGTTTGTCATTTGTATGTCTTATTTGTATGTCTTGAGAAACATCTATTCAAATCTTTTGCCCAACTTTTGATTGGATTATTAGTTTTTTCCTATAGAGTTGTTTGAATCCTTATATATTCTGGTTATTCATCCCTTGTCAGATGGGTAGTTTGGAGATATTTTCTTCCATTCTGTGGGTTGTCTCTTCACTTTGTTGATTGTATCCTTTGTGTTCAGAAGCTTTTTAACTTGATGTAATCCCATTTGTCCATTTGTGCTTTGGTTGGTTGTGTTTGTAGGGTATCACTCAGGAAATTTTTGCCAAGACCAATGTCCTGGAGATTTTCCCTAATGTTTTCTTGTAGTAGTTTCACGGTTTGAAGTCTTAGATTTAAGTCCCTAATCCACTTTGATTTGATTTTTGTATATGATGAGAGAAAGGAATCTAGTTTTATTCTTCCGCATATGAATATCCAGTTTTCCCAGCACCACTTATTGCAGAGACTGTCTTTTCCCCAGTGTATGTTTTTGGCACTTTTTTTTTTCATTTTGAAATTGTCTGTAGTTTCTTTTTATTTTATTTTATTTTATTATTATTATACTTTAAATTTTAGGGTACATGTGCACAATGTGCAGGTTTGTTACATATGTATACATGTGCTATGTTGGTGTGCTGCACCCATTAACTCATCATTTAGCATTAGGTATATCTACTAATGCTATCCCTCCCCGCTCCCTCCACCACACAACAGTCCCCGGAGTGTGATGTTCCCCTTCCTGTGTCCATGTGTTTTCTTTGTTCAATTCCCACCTATGAGTAAGAACATGCAGTGTTTGGTTTTTTGTCCTTGCGATAGTTTGCTGAGAATGATGGTTTCCAGTTTCATCCATGTCCCTACAAAGGACATGAACTCATCATTTTTTATGGCTGTATAGTATTCCATGGTGTATATATGCCACATTTTCTTAATCCAGTCTATCGTTGTTGGACATTTGGCTTGGTTCCAAGTCTTTGCTATTGTGAATAGTGCCACAATAAACATATGTGTGCATGTGTCATTATAGCAGCACAATTTATAATCCTTTGGGTATATGCCCAGTAATGGGATGGCTGGGTCAAATGGTATTTCTAGTTCTAGATCCCTGAGGAATCGCCAGACTGACTTCCACAATGGTTGAACTAGTTTACAGTCCCACCAACAGTGTAAAAGTGTTCCTATTTCTCCACATCCTCTCCAGCACCTGTTGTTTCCTGACTTTTTAATGATCGCCATTCTAACTGGTGTGAGATGGTATCTCATTGTGGTTTTGACTTGCATTTCTCTGATGGCCATTTTTGGCACTTTTGTCAAAAATGAGTTCACTGTAGGTGTGTGGATTTGCTTCTGGGTTCTCTAGTCTGTTCCACTGGTCTATACATCTGTTTTTATGCCAGTACCATGCTGTTTTGGTTACCATAGCTCTGTAGCATAATTTGAAGTCAGTAATGTGATTCTTCTAGTTTTATTCTTTCTGCTTAGGATGGCTTTAGCTATTCTGAGTCTTGTGGTTCCATACAAATTTTAAGATTTTTTTTTCCATTTCCGTGAGAAATGTCATTGGTTGTTTGACAGTGATTGCGTTGAATCTGTAGATTGCTTTGGGTAGTATGGACATTTTAACACTATTGATTCTTCCAAGCCAAGAACATGGAACATGTTTCCTTTTTTTGTCCTCCTCAGTTTCTTTTATTATAGAGATTTTTCACTTCCTTGGTCAAGTTAATTCCTAGGTATTTCATTTTTGTGTGGCTATTTTAAATAGAATTACTTTTTAAATTTCTTTTTCACATTGTTCACTATTGGCATATAGAAATTCTACTGATTTTATATCCTGGAACTTTATTGAATTTATCAGTTCTAATAGTATTCTTGTGGAGTCTTTAAGTTTTTATAAATATAAGATCATATCCTCTGCAAACAAGGATAATTTGACTTCTTCCTTTTAAATTTGGATGCCATTTATATCTTTCTCTTGTCTAATTGCTCTAGCTAGGACTTCCAGTACTATGTTGAATAACAGTGGTGACAGTGGCATCCTTGTCATGTTCCAGATCTTAGAAAAAAGACTTTCAGTTTTTCCCCATTCAGTATGATACTAGCTGTGGGTCTGTCATATATGGCTTTTATTATGTTGAAGTATGTTCTTTATATCCCCAGTTTTTGAGAATTTTTCACATGAAGCGATGTTAAATTTTATCAAATGCTTTTTTCAGCATCAATTAAAATGATCATTTTATTTTTATCTTCATTGTGTTGATGTGATGTCTCACATTAATTTGTGTATGTTGAACCATCCTTGCATCCCAGCAATAAATCCCACTTGATTGTGATGAATGAACCTTCTGATGTATTGTTTAATTCAGTTTACTAATATTTTGTTGAGGATTTTTGCATTAATATTCATCAGAGATATTGGCCTACAGTGTTTTTTTTTTTAATGTGTCTTTGTCTGGTTTTGGTATCAGGGTAATACTGGTCTCATAGAATGAGTTTAGAAGTATTCCCTCATAAAATACTTGTAGAAGTATTCCCTCCTCCTCTATTTTTTGGAATAATTTGAGTAGGATTGGTATTAGTTCTTCTTTGAATGTTTGGTAGAATTCAGCAGTGAAGTCATCAGGTCCTGGAATTTATTTACTGGTAGACTGTTTATTGTGACTTTGATCTTGTTACTTGTTATTGATCTTTTTAGGTTTTGACTTATTTCCTATTTTAATCTTGGTAGGTTGCATGTGTCTAGGAATTTGTCCATTTCTTCTAGATTTTTCAATTTATAGCATATAGTTTCTCATAGCAGCCACTAATGATCCTTTGAATTTCTGCAGTATCAGTTGTAATGTCTCCTTTTCCATTTATGATTTTATTTATCTGTATCTTCTCTCCTTTTTTCTTAGTTCATCTGGCTAAAGTTTTGTCAATTTTGTTTAACTTTTCAAAAAAGCAAATTTTTGTTTCATAGATCTTTTGTATTTTTTTCAGTTTCATTTATTTCCACTCTGATCTTTACTTTTTCTTTTCTTCAACTAATTTTTGCTTTGGTTCCCGTCTTGCTTTTCTAGTTTTTAAGATGCATCATTAGATTGCTAATTTAAAGTTTCTCCTTTTCTGACGTAGGCACTTAATAGCTATAAACTTCCTTCTTATTACTCCTTTTGCTGTATCCCATGGGTTTTGATATGTTGTTTTCATTGTCATTTGTTTCAATAAATGTTTCAATTTCCTTCTTAATTTCTTCATTGACCCACTAGTCATTCAGGAGCATATTGTTTAATTTCCATGTATTTTTATAGTTTCCCAAATTTCTCTTCTTATTGATTTCCAGTTTTATTCCACTGGGTTCAGAGAAGATGCTTGAGCAATTTGAGAGGCCAAGGTGGGAGGATTGCTTGAGCTCAGGAGTATGAAACCAGCCTAGGCAACATAGGGAGACCCGGAAGCAGTTCAAATGGGATTGAAAACCGTGTACCTGTTGCCTGGACTGTAGAGGGCATTGCAAGCCTGGTGGAGGTGAGCAAAGGGAGAGATTAGATAAAGCTGAGTACCCAACTTCCAGAGTTGCATATATCATTGAGACCAATAGTTCCACATACAGATTTCATTTAACACCTGTATTTTTAAAGTCAATCACAATAGACTTGTCAGACCGTCTTAGAATTATAACCAAGAACAGAAGAAAACAAGATCACTTTTATTGTCACTTGGGTGACAGTTGATATTGGGAGGGCTTCAAAGGTATAAATGTAGATATAAATAAAAACATAAACAGATTTAGAGGTTTTAGATCACAGTGAATGTGCTAATTTGTAACTCCTTTTAAATTTAACATATGGTAAACAACTCTATTTTGTCATTAAATATCTTTCTAAAACATTGTTTTGAAGGACTGTATATAATTGTGTCATAGTTTGTTACCTAATTATTTAAATTTTGAGGCCAGGTGAAGTGGCTCACACCTGTAAACCCAGCACTTTGGGAGGCCGAGGAGGGCAGATCACCTGAGGTCAGGAGTTCGAGACCAGCCTGGCCACATGGTGAAACCCTGTCTCTACTAAAAATACAAAAATTAGCCAAGCGTGGTGGCAGGTGCCTGTAATCCTAGCTACTCGGGAGGCTGAGGAGGGAGAATCGCTTGAACCCAGGAGGCGGAGGTTGCAGTAAGCCAAGATCGAGCCATTGCACTCCAGCCTGGGGGACAAGAGCAAGACTTTGTCTCAAAAAAAAAAATTTTTTTTTTTTTGAGTACAGATGGGAATTGACTGAAAGCATTTTTACTGAATTGTTGGTTCTCAACTCCCCTCCTACTCCTACATCTTGGTTCTACTTCCCAACTACAAAATGGAAAGTTTCCTTTTTGGATATATGAGTACACAAAAAAGGAGAATCTTCACATTATGGTGTGTCCAGTCTCTTTTTACATTCCATTTTGTTTTTATTTTATAGAGGTAATATTTTTATAGCCTCATGTAGATTTTTTCATTTTAGTTTGTAAAAAGAACAATGAGAACACTTGGACACAGGAAGGGGAACATCACACACATGCGGGCCTGTTGTGGGGAGGGGGAAGGAGGGAGGGATAGCATTAGGAGATATACTTAATGTAAATGACGAGTTAATGGGTGCAGCACACCAACATGGCACATGTATACATATGTAACAAACCTGCACGTTGTGCACATGTACCCTAGAACTTAAAGTATAATAAAACATATATATTAAAAAAATTAAAAAAAAATAAATAAGTCAGCCACTGCACCTGGGCAACTATTCTGCTCAAAAAAAAAAAAAAAAAGTAAGCTTAAAGAAAACTTGCAATAAGAATAGTATTTTGTACTTATATATTTTTTTTTCTGAAATTGCACTCATCAGAACTCTTTATCCTTAAGTACTTCAGTATTTCCTAAGAAAAGGATACATTCTTGTACATAACCAGAATATAGCTACCAACTTCATTAAATTTAATTTTAATAATCTAAACTGTTTGAATTCTCATTGTCACATGAATTTTGTTTGAAAATACAAGCCCAAAATTACACTCCCGTCTCTGAACATGTCATGTTTCTTAAATCATTTATGTCTTTATGCTGCATGGTAAATTTTTGTAATTAAAACACTGTATTTTTTTGTGGAATTTATTCCTTAAAATTTTATATTTCTACTGGCAGTTTGAATGGTAATTTATCCTACATTCTCTCACCCTTCCCATCTCCCCCTGCTACTATATATTTTATTTGTGCTTCTTAGTAGCTTGGACTGCCGGAGACAAGTGACTCTGCCTCATCATATGCTTCTCATTGGTTGGAGAGATACATATTCATTACTATTAGTTATTTCTTCTAACCAGAGCTTCTGCAAAGCCCCTTTATCATTATCCTTTCTCTTCAATCACAATCTTGCCTAGTAACCTTTTCCATACCCAGATAGTTCCTTTCCTCCTGCAAGAACTAAGCGTATGTAAGTCTTCTCATTTGTTACCTAGTTCACTTTTCTTCACATGTGAGGATCCTGGATACTATTAAGATGCCTTCACTACTGACTGGATCTTGGAAAAATATGCTTTGTTTCCCTACAAAATATATTTCCTTTTAAGCTCTCAGTAAATTTGGAAATGATCTACCTATAGATTAGTCCTCTGGTATTAACTAGTATCATTATTCTGGCTGTAAAAGATAACTGTTCAAACTATTTACAGGTTAGATTATCCAGGGGATATAGTTTAGAGCACCCATATAATTTTCAATAGATTACTTGATTTAAAAAGAACCTATCAAGTTAATGTTTCGAAGAAATTGATAATTTCTTTTAGAGGTTTCTCTGAGAAAATACAAGCAGACAGGCAGTCCATATTAACAGGCTGGGTCTAGAGTTATATAGTCTGAGCGAGGACATGGGATGTTGAGTTGAGTCCAGAGACAGGCCATATGCAGAGAACCAGAACAATGTTTCAAAATCTGCAAATGGCTGAGTCTGGGTATTTCCTGTGTGAAGGAGGATGCCAGAAATGAGCAACCAAAACCTTAACAGAGACTGAAAACACATCCCAAAGTAGGAGGCAAAATACATCCACCTTCCAGGCAGCATACCCAGGCCTGATACACATGTTAGAATGGGTTCTAGACATGGGACAACAGGATAAAAATGTCAGTAAAATCATGGGAAAGATTAAAGTGAAAAATATTATAATATAAAGGTCCATACATCTCATTAATTTTAGTAAATGCAAATAGACTAAACTTGTGACCAGAAGACAGAGACTGACAAATTGAATGCAAAAACATAAATTCAGGTTATACTGTTTACAAGACACATACCTAAAGCATAAAAGTCATTTCAGAGATTAAGTGTAAAACATAGAAAGGACATATTATGCAAAAACTAATTCTAAGAAATGGTGTTTATTTATTAATGTCAAAAACAAATTTTAAGGAAAAAGATATCGTAGGACAGAAAGACTCATATAATGATAAACATTCACCTAGTCAAGGAAAACATAGACTGGTCACAGGGGCTCACACCTGTAATCCCAGCACTTTGGGAGGCTGAGGCAGGTGGACCGCTTGAGCTTATGATTTCGAGACCAGTCTGGGCAACATAGCGAAAACTTGCCTCTGCAAAAAACAAAAATTAGCTGGGCATGGTGGTACGTTGTCTGTAATCCTAGCTACTTGGGAGGCAGAGGTGGGAGGATGGCTTGAGTCCAGGAGGCGTAGGTTGCAGTGAGCCGAGATTGCACCACTGCACTCCAGCCTGGGCGATAGAGCCAGACTTTGTCTAAAAAAAGAAAAGAAAAGAAAAGAAAAGAAAAACATAGCAGCTATAAGTATAGGTACATCTAATAAAATATCCTCAAAGACATGAATCAAAATTAATATAATATTTAGGTAGAAAGCAATAAATCTACCATTTATAGTATGATATTTTAACATACATTTCTGGGCTCTTTATAAGTCAAGAAGGCAAAAGTAGGATATAAAAGATCTAAACAACACAATTAGTAAGCTTGACTTAATAGACTTGAATATATTATAAAGTTATTGTCTATGTTCTCATCTATGTGCCAGGTGGTAGATTCACCAGTGCCTATTACATTATTGAAAACAAACAAAAAACAAATTAAAAATAATAAACTAGCCGGGTGCAGTGGCTCACAACTGTAATCCCAGCACTTTGGGAGGCAAGGTGGGTGAATCACCTAAGGTCAGGAGTTTGAGACCAGCCTGGCCAACATGGTGAAACCCTGTCTTTACTAAAAAAAATACAAAAATTACCAGGGTGTGGTGGCATGCACCTGTAATCCCAGCTACTCAGGAGACTGAGGCAGGAGAATTGCTTGAACCTGAGAGGTGGAGGTTGCAGTGAGCCGAGATCACGCCACTGCATTCTAGCCTGGGCGACTGAGCAAGACTCCATTTCCAAAAAAAAAATTAAAATTAAAATTAGAATTAAAAAAATAAATAACTAAGCTTGGACCAATGATGACAGTGAGGAATGCAAATGCATTAGGGTCATTCAAAATCTTTGCACCTTAGATGTATATGCAGGACAGAGAGAGAAGAAGGAGGAGGAGAAGGAAAATAAAAGTCGATGGAAAGAAGGGGAAGGGGAAGGGATATTGGGGTACATTTGACTTTATACAAACAGCCATGACTTTTATTTTAATATACATAGTCCTGAAGTCCACTCAGTGCATGATAAGCTTCCTTCCCAAATCACTCTTGATTATGAACTTCCAAAAATAGGAAAAACCATTCAACTAATGGATTTGAGTTTACAACACCTGATTCTTCCCTTCCAATCTGTGACCACTTTTCTCCTAGTTTCCATGCTCCCCCATCCCAACCACAGTTCTTCCATTTAGTCCTTCATATTTATTTCCCATTCTTCTCTTCCTTGCTCTGTGCTCCCAACAGCAGCTGACCTGTGTGGATTACCTCCTGGCTTCTGGTTTGATATGAGCAATGAAGAACAGAATCAGGGGATCAGAGGAAAGGAAGGAAGTGGGCTAATTTTCTCCACACTCAGTCTCTGGGCAGGTCATGGAAGGCTGGCAGTTTTATTCAACCAGAGGGTCACATATGCTGTCAGGTGACTCTCTCGACACAGCACTCTCTGACTCCAAGGCCCTCTCATCACTCTCTTCCCTCATCTCTTCAGGCTTGAGGGTGTAACAGGACTCCTGTTACCTGCTGTCCCTAGCCCAGGTTACGTCTCTGTCCCTATTGTTTGCCTACACTCTGATGCTCATAGCTTTGTAAATAGAATTTTTATTAAAACTCTCCTCAAATTAGCAAATTTGAGTTTGCCATCCTTTTCCTGCCAGGAACCTGACTGATACAAATTTAAACCCAACTTCCAACTACTTGCCTCCTCCCAAAATGTCCCACTTGCTGTTAGGGCAAAACTTGATAGAAGCATGAAATCCTAATACCCGCTACCAATCATGAGGCCATGTCAGAAAACACCAGTAACTTCTATCTGTAGTGTTCAATAAATGAAGCTCCAGGGTGAGGGATAAAACACTGATAGATGCAGGAGGCAGATAAGCGAGTGGGTCCCTGGAGAATCTCCAACCCACGTGATCACTGGGAGCATGGGGTGGAGCCATGGGAAGTTCCCACTTTGTGCAGAAGGGAGGAGCCTGCCCTCTCCACTTCCTGTGTGGTCGCCTGGTTTTCAATCTGTAAGGTGGAGGCCTGCTAGGAGGACTCCCTCTGGCTTTGCTGAGAGTTCCTCTTTCTTTTTTTCCTTTTCACCCAATAAACCCTGTTCTACTCACTTTTCAATGTGTCTGTGTGCCTAAATTTTCCTGGTTGTGTGACGAGAACCAGGTATTTTCTGCAACAACAGGAATTTAATTTTCAGAGTGGGAAATGAGTGGTAGAAATGCAAGAAATCAGGCGACCCATCAATATTACAGCATGAGATCTTTTGGAGAATACCTCTATCTACATTAAAGACATAAAATGCTAGAAAATTATCACAATAAATTACACATAAAAGCTAAAGATTCAAGAAGGGAGATCTGTAGATGTAAAAAACAAAGAGGGAAATCCCAGCTACAGCTGTGAGTGGAAGCTGAAACATAATATTTCACGAAGATTCTGTTAAGAGGATACAACACATTAAAGAAACTAGAATTATTCTAAGCAGACATGCAGTGATGTGCTGGAGCCAGCTCCTACAAGCTTGCGAGAGTCAATTGTTCTGTGAATTTTCAAATCAGTTGTTAAGCATAGCCATTATTAAAAATTAAATTGTATAAGCTTACAATTAATATTAAAAATAAAAGAGATACATACTAAAAACTCATTACTTCTTAATTATTTTGCCACATGTTACAATTGTTCTAGCTCTTGAGGTCATTTGCATCTACTGTAAATGTGTATTGGAAATGTTATTTAAGGGTGATCTACTGCGTATCTCTTCCCAACTCTGCATTCAGTGAGAGCAGATTGGTAACTTGCAGTTGGCTACAGTGGGAGGATTACACTACGGAAATCACCAAATGTTATGAATCATCTTATTGTTTTGTTGATTTCCTGGATCAGAGGTCAGCAAATTTTTCTTTAAGACCAATAGAAAATATTTTAGGGTTTCAGGTTATACAGTTTATTTCACAACTATTCAGTTCTGTTATTATAGAGCTAAAGCTGCCATAGACAATGTATAATTAAAATAATATGGCTGTGTTCTAATAAAGTTTTATTCATAAAAACAGGTTTCAGGCCCACTGTTTATATGTGGTCCCCTATCCAACCTGTGTTGGGGACCACTGGAGATTGGACTGTGCCTGGAGATGGAGGTCACCAAGTTGAGAACCAGTCTCACAAATGGTCCAGCAGGACTGATGGGTCCTGGGGCTCAAACTCCCAGCTCCAGGAACTCGAACTGCTGTTACTGTGCAGGAGCCCCATATTTGGTATTGGTAAAAGCTTACCTTTCTCCTTCTCCCTCCCTAAGCTCAAACCAGGAAGGTTCTTACACCATTCTCCTTTCAACTGCCTTGATTGTAAAAGTTACAGGTATCAACTGCTGGATACATCACACTTGAGTCAATCTCTGACACAAATCTGAGGAAATCTGAGGAAGCAACCCCTGACAGCCTAGAGAAACGTCCTGGGTATCAATGCGAAGAAATAGGCGATCTTAAGCTAAAAATCATAAAAGTTAAGAAAATGACTGAAGGCTACTCATCCTACTCAGTCCCACCTCTACCTTACCAGATGCTTTCAGCCATTTCTACTTTTCCTCTCAAGATTTGTCGCCAGATATTAGAACTTCTTTTTAATGCGTATTTGCAGGGAGATTTTGATTATCCATGGGATTACATGTGTAACTTCATAGACCTCCAAAGGGAAGTTCTATATCTTGGTAAGTAGAATTTTAGATGGAAATTATCTACTACACCACCCTTACAGGAATTGTTATACTGACTCTACTGTTTGCAGTAGGACTATATACTGTAGCACCCCCACAGTGGAATATCAGACAAAGAATCTCAATTTCCATAGTATTTTGCTTAATTATTATCCTTATAGCAAGGATAATAGTTACCAACAAGAAGTAACCATGAAGGTTTTACTATTACTGAGTCTGGTAGGACTTTTTATTGGGTTTGGTAATATGTCAAATCTTTTAGTTCCTATGATATCAACTGTGGACCCTAGCTATGCAAAGAAGGTTATAAAGAAAAGAGATTTTATATAAGAAAGGATCTTGTACGGTAAATTCTTGTCCTAAAGAAAATAGCTGGTTGTTTAAAAAGAGAGATGTTTAGGACAAGTTACAAAGTTTAAGCATGTTATAGATAGTCTGTGTATGTTGTAAAAGGATTAATAATTACAAGGAAAATTTAGCCAAAGTTAACACTAAAGTTACTCTAGCCACCCAATCCAATGCCACTTATCCTAAAAAGAATGTTATTTTCATATTAACATTTCTGGTAAAGTACAGCAACATCTGGTGGAGGCAAACCAGTATTACAACTCATTGGAATGGCTAGGAGGTATCAAACAAACTCTACTGTCATGTTGTTGCCTATAGCACCCCCACTAATAATGATAATCTCAATACTCATATTCAAACCCTATGTTAGAACATGTTCTAAACCTTCTTGTAAAATTTATCTCATCTCTCCTAGAAGCTATTAAACTCCAAATGGTGCTGCAGACGGAACCACACATGGACACGTCATTCTTCTGAGGACCCTTAGATCAACCCCAGGAGGAGCCCTGGCTGCTGTTCCCCCATGGTGTCCCTTTACAGCAGGAAGTAGCCAGAGAGAGTAATTGTCCAATGCCCCATAACAGCAGTTAGGGTTACCACTTCTGAGGGAGGAAATATGATAAAGGAGCTAAAAAAATTATTTAGGCAGAGGCCAGGCGCAGTGGCTCACACCTGTAATCCCAGCACTTTGGGAGGCCCAGGTGGGTGGATCACAAGGTCAGGAGTTCAAGACCAGCCTGGCCAACATGGCAAAACCCCATCTCTACTAAAAATACAAAAATTAGCCAAGCATGGTGGTGCACACCTGTAATCCCAGCTACTCAGGAGGCTGAGGCAGGAGAATTGCTTGAACCCTGGAGGCAGAGGTTGCAGTGAGCCAAGATTGCACCACTGCACTCCAGCCTGGGTGACAGGGCAAGACTCTATCTCAAAAAAAAAAAAAAATTATTTAGGCAGATAGTGAGGGTAAGAGAGTCCTCAGCATGGTTTCTCTTTTAACAAAACATAGCCTCAAAATCATTTCTTTCCTAACAAAGAGCAGCCAGAAAATAGAGCTGCAGACATAGGAAAGGAAGCTGGAAGCTTGCATGGGTGAATGCTGGCAGCTGTGCCAATAGAAAAGGTGCATTCAATGTGGAGGCTCCATCTCCCCTTCTCTTTGTCACCACGTGTACAGTAAAAAGCAGGCAACATGGCGCCAGCCAGGTAAAGAACCCATCTGCATAATAAAATATTAGGGTGGGTGGCCAGCTTCTTCATGTGCTATGCAAATGGCACACCTGGTCTGACTAATCTTTCGTGCCCTATGTAAATCAGACACCACCTTTTCAAGCTAGTCTATAAAACTCCATGCATTTCACCACAGAACTGGCTACCCATTTTTACCAAGAACTGGCTACCCATTTTTTCCAGAACTGGCTCCCTATTTTTTTCTCTTTCTTTCACCTATTAAACTTCCACTCTTAACCTCACTCTGGTGTGTCCATGTCCTAGTTTTCCATGGCTGTGGGACAATGAACCTCATGTATTACCCCAGACAAGGACACCGCTTCAGCAGGACTGCCACCAAGACTCCAGAACTGTAGAGCTACCAACATGCAATGAGAGCCTGGAAAAGACAAGGCGCCTGACTCTAATCCACGAGAACAGCCACATGTGGGCTGCAACCACCAAAGCCATGGGAGCAGGACTGCCAGAGGCCTTGAGGGCCCAACTCCTGCCCCAGTGTGCTCAGGATGAAGGACATGGACTCAAAAGATATTATTTCCAGCTTTAAAATTGAATGTCTTTCCTGTTGGGTTTCGGACTTCCTTGAGGCCTGTAACTCCTTTCTTCTGGCCTATTTCTCCTGTCTCAGCATTATATCTTGGAGGTAGGTAACTGGTTTTAATTTCACAGGCTCACAGATCGGACGTTTTTTTGGATTTCTGTGTTGATACCAGAACAAGTTAAGACTTTAGGGCTCCGAGGATGGAATGAATGTATTTGCAAAGAAGAAAGATATGAGTTTTGTGGGGAAAGGCAGGGGTGAAAAGCTATGGCTTAAATGTTTGTCCCCTCTGAAACTCATGCTGAAACTTAATCCCCATTGTAACAGTATTCACAGGGTGGAAAATCAGACTATGATATTTCAGGGGCAGAATCTTTTGGAAGGTAATTAGGATTAGATGAGGTCATGAGGATGGAGTATTAAGGCTCGATAACAGAAAGAGATACTTGAGCTAGCCCTCTTTGCTCCCTTGTCATGTGATGCCTTGAACTGTATCAAGACTCTGCAGGGGTTCCCCACAAGCAAGAAGGCACTCACAAGATGCTGGCACCATGCTCTTGGACTTTCAAGCCTCCAGAACTATAAGAAGTAAATTTTAGGTCAGGTGTGGTGGTTCATGCCTGTAATCCCAGCACTTTGGGAGGCCAAGGTGGGTGGATCACTTGAGGTCAGGAGTTTGAGACCAGCCTAGCCAACAAGGTAAATCTCATCTCTACTAACAATACAAAAATTAGCTGGGTGCGGTGGCACATGCCTGTAATTCAGGCTACTCTGGAGGCTGAGTCAAGAGAATCACTTGAATCTGCGAAGTGGAGATTGCAGTGAGCTGAGATTGTGCCACTGCACTCCAGCCTGGGCAACAGAGCAAGTGAGACTCCATTTCAAAAAAAAAAAAAAAGAAATGTTGTTTCTTTATAAATTACTCAGTTTCAAGGTTTCAAGTATTCTATTATAATCAATGGAAAATGGATTAAGACAGTGAAATCAACATCTAGAATATAAATTCATTGGAGACAAAATTAATTTTATAAAATATTCTGGTGTATACTATATAAGTATATGAAATAAATAAGATGAGTGCAGATAACACTAATAATAATGACTTCATTTTTATTTCTGTCTTGGTGAAGAAGGGGTCCTGTAGGTATAATTAATTATTCTCTTAGGTGTGTCTTCTCAATAACCTGCCAGCAAAGTTAGTTGTGGGTTAAAAAAAACAGCACCCAGCCTTTATAGTTAAATGACTGTAAATTTCATCAGATTCCTGTTCTTCCCTGTCTCTATCCCCAGGGATTCAATGACATTTACATACTTGGTCCCCTGCATAAGATATTAATAAACCCATTTCATGACTCTGTCCGTAGTTATAACTGGACATTCTGTCAAGTTCCTGAGTCTCACACCTCCAGGTCCTGTAATTGCTACGGAGGCACTGAGAATTTGGTCTTTGAACTAACAAGATTTAGATAGGATATTAGACTTGACCTGAGGCTGTAATTGGATGAGACTTTGGGGAGACCTTGGGAAGGGGTGAATATATTTTCCATTTGAGAGTTACCAAACTTACTGGTGGCCAGAGGGGTGAATATGGCAAATAAAATTTGAGGATGGCCCCTAAGAATACCTATTACCTCCTGTTGTACATGCCTTCTAAAACTCATTTGCTTTGACTGTGGGTAGAACCTGCAAATATGATGGAATAATCACTACTGTGATTGGATTGTGTGTTGACCACATTTGGCGTTACAAAAAGGAGATTTTTGTGGGTGAGCATGACCTAATCAGGTGAGCCTTTAAAAGGGACTGAACTTTTCCTAAAGAGGGAGATTGGATGTGAGAAACATTATCTATTGCTGACTTTGAAGATGGAGAGGGCCATGTGGCAAGGACCTGAGAGTGGCCAGTAGGAGCTGACAGTGACTGCTGGCTGACAGCCAACTTGAAAACATGGAATTCAGTCATATGTGGAAATGAATTCTGCCAACAGGCAATGAGCTTGGAAGAGGAACCCAAACTCAGGTGAGAATTACAATGGCTCTGTGACTTGAGTCTTGTGACATCCTAAGCAGAAAGCCCAGTTGAGCTCTGCCTAGACTTCTGACTTAGAAAACTGATATAATAAATGGGTTTTGTTCTAAGCTTCTGCATTTGTACCAGTTTTCTGTGACAGTGGCTAGGAAACTAACACAATATATTTTGCTCATTTAAGGTTTACACGCTGCACTATAAGCACTTTCTTTTAATATAGCGCAATGCTTAAAAATTGATATACATTTCACATATTAACTCTTGATTTTTCATTTAAGTTGTGGTTGTATTTATGATTATTTAAAAATATAGTCTAACAATATTTTTTGTATGGTTTCTTTCTTTTTTGTTACTTTAAATCATTCCAACACTTTTTAATAAAATAAATATTAACATGTATCTTTTTCTATATTTTGAGTTCCTTCTTGATTTACATTTAAACTTTTAATCTAGCTCAATATCATCTCTGTATGTGTGTATGTATGGGCTCTTTTTATTTTCCTACTAAATAACCAATAGACCCAACATCATTTTTAGTAATTTTCCCTCATTCCACTGAATTAAAAGTCTGCTTTTATTATGTACTACATTTTAAAAAATTTATCCAACATAAATTCAGGATAACTTGTTCTGTTCTTGAAAGCAGTTCTAATGTGGCATTCTTTAACAAGCAAGAATAAACTTCCCACTGCACCATTTAAAACACTCCAAACCATTATTGCAATCTCTTGAAAAACATTGAATTAGAATTGTGTTTCTAATACCAAGGAAAATGATTTAAAATTCTCTTAAAATAGCTTTTTCTCCTAAAAATTTCACCTGAGAATGTCTTCAGTCACCAGAGTTTCCTCACCACTATGCTGCTTTCTCTTCCATTCCATATAGGTGCCATGCTGTTCAAGTATGTTTCAAAAACTTGCCTCCTAGCCCCTTATATCTCACCGACTTCCAATCCTCATTAGCTACAGTCCTTTACCCCACAAACCTGGATTAACTCCAAAAGAGTGGAATGGGTTCTTCTGTGCCTCAAAGAAATGAAGAATATAAACTATAACACTGGAAGCTTCTTTGAAATATGTTTATGTCCCATCCCAAAATTTTCTCAAAGGTTCACCAACTTCTAGAAATATAATATAGTAGCCCCACCTTATCCATGGTTTCACTTTCCATAGTTTCAGTTATCTGTGGTTTATCACAGTTTGAAAATAGGGGAGTATAGTACAGTAAGACATTTTGAGAAAGAGAGAGGGACCCCATTTACTTAACTTTTATTACCGTATATTGTTATAATTGTTCTATTTTATTATTAGTTTTTGTTTATCTATGACTGTGAATAATTTATAAGTTACACTTTATCATAGGTATGTATGTGTATGAAAACACACAGTTCATATAGGGTTTGGTACAATCTGTGGCTTCAGGAATCTACTGTGGGATCTTGCAATGTATCCCCCGTGAATAAGGGGGGACTACTATAAATACAATTTTGATCTCATTAATCATAACATAAATTTGGATCTGCTTCTGTGCAGTCAATGTTGTTCCACAGTTGTCTTTTTTTTTTTTTTTGGTGGCAGTATAAACATGTTTTAATTGTTTAGCTTTATAATTATTTGTAAGCATCTACTAGAGCAACTCCCCCTGATTTTTATCAATAGCTATTTTATATATTTATTACTCTTGAAAAAAATTAGAAACATTTTGTTAACAAAACTATCTTATTGATATTTAGATTAAAGCATCACAAAGTCTATGCACTTTGGAAAACTGACACAAATTGTCTTGTTCAAGAATGTGATACTTTTATTTATCAAACTTTTCTCTCCTTAAGTAAATTTCTATTCTTTTCTGTGTATTGCACACATGACTAGTAGACTGCTTTGATATTTTCTATGTTTATTGCTCTTTTAAGTAATTTTTTTTTCTGTAACAGACTTACTGGCTTAGTCTGCCAGAGACAAATGATGTTGCTTCACTTCTTCTCATTGGCTGGAGAGGAAAGTACTTAGTGGTTTAACTTAATCACAACTTTTGTGAATCTTTTTTTTTTTAAAGCAGCATCCCGTATTTGGTTACACTCTGGTCTAGTAACCACTTCCTTTGAGCAAGACAACCTTCTCCACCTTCAAGAGCCAGGCATGTGATTAAAAAAATTTTCCTTTGTGGTCACTTAGTTATTATTCTTCTTGCTTTGAGTGTTTGGGCTGCTAGTTTCATGTATTCACTTTCAACTAAAGCTGTTCTTTACAACTTGTTACAGTAAGTTTTGATTCACAGAATATTTTAGGCTCATCTACAATATAATAATTTCCCACAAATGTAAAGAATATAAGTTTGTACAGTTCTAAATATCAGTAAAACAGCATGGAGCAGAGTGCTCATATTTAACTTTAAAAAAGGTAGTGTTTCCATAGGCACTTTCAGGATAATAAGAATTGATTTGATTGATATAGACTTATGGGACAATATGTGAGAATCAGGCTCTGCTCTAAAGGATAGGAGAAAGGCGGGCAGGGAGGACTTAATACGGTTTGAATTCCAGACACACAACCTAGTTGCCTAATTTGGCCTCATCCACCACCTTAAATATTTTCGTGAGATTCTGTCTTACATCTCTGGTAATACTAAAACAAAAAATGAGGACCGTTTCAAGTAAGTCTAGCTCAGGAGAAACCATTAAAATTTTTATATTCTCCGTTTAATTTTTTCTACAATTATTATTTCTCCTTTTTATATTAATTAGAATAGGTGAGACTGCTACAATAACTAGGCTTGAAAGTGTATGACGGCTGAAATACCGTAGAAGTTTATAACTCACTAATGTAACAGTAGGAAGAGACCGATGATTTGTGAGTAGCTCTTCTCCAGTTGGTGATTCTGGGATCCAAGTTGCCATACTCCAATATGGTGCCTCTCTTTTTTTTTTCCTGTGAAAATTAACATACTTTATTTTTTCTTCAAATAGGGAGGTCAGAAAGAGTGGCCAATTGTGATCTAGAAGATTAAGGCAAGATGGTTAGTGAAATTTGCTACAGTGTCCACTATGTTGTCATTATGGCTGTAACTAATATTCATCTCCCTCTGTCACAAGCCGCTCCTGATTCCCCTTATGCTCTGAATTTAGTATAGTTTGTTTTTCTGTTTTTGGGTGACAGAGACAACTATTCCAGAAGGGTCTATACTGTTATTTACCCTGTCCTTGCTGAATTATGATTGTTTTAGTGTCTACTGATAGTCATTACCGTGCATAAAAGTACTAAAAGATTATCATTGTATTTCCTCTAATTTGTTCCTGAGGCATCTCTCATGAGAATGGCTATCAACTGTAGTCCTTCTCTAATGAAGGGAAAAGAAATATGCATGGGCTCAACAACCAGGACTACAGTCAAGAGTCAACAAGGATTATCTTCTTAATAGTATTGCTGAGTTCCATCCTGCCAGCAGTAGAGGATGACACTGAATTCACCATATGGCCCCATTACTTGAGGAGATCAGCCAGCCAACTGGTGTCAGGTTGACTGTATCAAAACCTTCCACCTTGGAGGGGAAGTGATTTATTCTTTCTGGAATTAGTATACACTTTGGATATGGATTTGCTAGTCTCACCCACATTGCCTCCAAAACCACTGCCATTCAAACACTCATGGGATTCTATGTTTAATATTGCTCAAAACTACAAAACCCATTTAGTAACAAAGAAGATGTAGCAATGGGATAATGATATATACCCCATTACCTAGATGTAGCAGTCCAGAAGAATAATTGAATGGTGCTGGCTGGAAGACACTGCCCTCTAGGATGTTGTCTTTGACTGTTTGTGTTGCTATAACAAAACACCACAGACTGGATAAATTACAAAGATCATAATTTTATTTTCTCACAATCCTGGAGGCTGGAAAGTCCAAGATCAAGGTACTGGCATCTAGTAAGGGCCATCTTGCAGCGTCTTCACATGGCGGAAAGTGAACCACATGGTGGAAGGTGGAAGGGAAAGGAAGCACTCCCTTCAACCTTGAGTCCTTTTATAAGGGCCCTAATCCCATCTTTGAGGGTCATGTCCTCATGACTTAATCATCTCTTAAAATGATCACATTGGGGACAATAGGGTTAGGTTTTAATATATGAATTTTGGAATTTTGAGTCATGTGGTTTGTTGAATTGTCTTCTTTCTGTCTTACCTAACTGACACATTCAAATTTAACTTCTTTCCCAGACAGAGCTGTCCCAGAGAGTGAAATTTTGGCAGGAATAAACTGGACACAGGTCAGGCTGAGCCACAAAAATGTCTTCTAGTATAAACAAGTTTCCTGTGAGAGGGGCACTTGGTTACAGGTCAGACACTTAGGCATTAGACCATCTTCCAGAATAAAGAAGCATCCCATGAAGGTACATTGTAAACTCCACACCCAAATTCCCTAGAGCTCCAGCACAGCAAAACTAGTTTATAGCTGTTCTCATGAGGGAGACTTCAAGACCAAATTAGATGAAAATACAGTAGACGCTGAAACAATTATAATCCATCAAGGAGAATATAAACAAGAGCATAAATCCTTCTGGGATTGTAGTCTCTATCACCAAACCAGAACCACCAACTAGTTTTTAAACCTGCTGCAGTCTAGTTTCAAATTTACTACTTCAATTGCATGATGGATTGTGGTTGGTATGCCCAAACTTATGATTCTATGAATCTTATAACTCTCAGCATCATATGGACAATTTAAGTCACATGGTCACAGTGTGTTAAGTGTCTAGCAGGAAGAAATGCACACTAGGTTGTAGTTTTAGAACACATGAGTTCCTGCAAAATTACTGTTAGAGAAGTTTTCCAGTGGGGTTATAATCTGGAACATGTAATATGAATGAAGTGATCAAGAATTTGACTTGTGACTTACACTTTAGATCATGATATAATAATTGGTGTCATCAATACTTTGTATGTCCCAGACAGCTTTCTTGAGCCTTAGGGGACTGACTCACAATGGAGCTGAGGCTTCTTCTGTCCCTTGCTACTGATCTCTAAGTAATAAACCTGCTTCACATAACTTGTGTGTGTGCATGTTCTATTTCATCAGACTCAGATAATAGGTAACCAGTGCATGGTGGACCTAAACAGTAGCTCAGGATGCAGTGGAAAGAAGTATCTGGACTTCTTTTCCTAGTGGTTGGCATAGTAGTGATCTTTGCTATTCTCCACACAGTGGGGGTCCTCCTTTGGGATTGGTAATTAGTAAACCTGCTTCATAAACTGTGATTAATATACTAAAATCTCTTACGGAAAAGTAGACAACATGCTAGATTAGATAGGTAATTTCGGCAGAGATGGAAAATCTGAGAAAGAATAAAATTGAAATAAAATAAAAATACATTAACAAAAATAAAAAATACATTTGACAAACTCATCAGCAAACTTGACACAGCCCTGGGAAGAATCAATGAATTTGAAATAGATCAATAAAAATTATTCAGTGTGAAACACAAAGAGAAACAAACAGTAAAAGTAAATTTAAAAAATAGGTCAAGTGTGGCAATCCCAACAGTTTGGGAGGCCAGGGCTGGAGGATTGCTTGAGCCCAGGAGTTTGAGACCAGTCTGGGTAACATGGGGAGACATCATCTCTACAAAACATACAAAAATTAACTGAGTGTGGTGGTATAAACGTGTAGTCCCAGCTACTCGAGAGGATGAGGCGGGAGGATCACTTAAGCCCAGGAGGTCAAGGCTGCAGTGAGCCGTGACTGCACCACTGCACTCCAGTCTGGGCAACAGAGTGAGACCTTGTTTAAAAATAGATAAATAAATAAGTGTTTAACACTTTTCAGGCAAAAATATAGTATCATTCGATACGGTACTACAGCTTGTGGATGCTCTGTTTTGTTTTTATTCCCCACTCTTCTTTTCTCTTTGTATTTCACTTTGGAAAATTTTTATTAGGTACCTTATTGAATTGGTTTTCTTTTTAAATAAACATATTATTTTGGTTGACTTTATTTTTCAATGTTGTATTTTGAAATAATTATAGATTCGGAGGAAGTTACCAAGATAGTACAGAAAGATTCTCTATACCCTTCATCCAGTTTTCCCCAATTGTCACATCTTATATAACTAAAGTACAATATCAAAACCAGGAAATTACCCTGACATATATTGTCAAGCGATTTTCAACAAGGGTGTAAAGGCCATTAATTGAGGAAAGGACAGCCTTTTCAACAATGGTGCTGGGAAAACTGAAGTCCACACACAAAAGAATGAAATTGGATTCTTACCTTAGATCATAGACAAAATGAACTCAAAATGAATCAAAGACCTAAATGTAAAACTTAAAACTATCAAACTATTAGAAAAAAACATAAAGGAAAATCTTCATGACATTTGATTAGGCTATGATTTCCTGGACATAACACCAAAGACATAGAAAAGAAAAGAAAATATAGATAAATTGGACTTCATCAAAATTTAAAACTTCTAACTCAGGAAAGGAAAAACAAATGCCGTATGTTCTCACTTACAAGTGGGAGCTAGGCTATGGGTACACAAAGGCATGCAGAGTGGTAAAATGGACACTGGAGACTCAGAAGAGGGGAGGATGGGATGGGGGTGAAGGATAAAAAACTACATATTGAGTACAATTTATGCTACTTGGGTGACAGGTGCACTAAAATCTCAGGTTTCACAACTATACAATTTATCCATGTAACAAAAAGTCATTTGTACCTCAAAAACTATTTATATAAAAAATATTAAAAATATTTTAAAATTATTATTATTATCTACTATGTGTTCAACACTATTTTTGGTGCTTTATATTTGCCATTTCATTTAATCCTCAGCATTACTCCATGGAATAAATATTCTCATTTTGCAGTTGAAGGAACTAACACTCAGAGAGATTAACTTGGATTTATGAGCAATGTCTGCATTATAAAGTAGAGGCAAGGAGACCAGTCAGGATGCTTTTGCAGTAATTCACTTGGGTTGAATTGTTGGTCTTTGAAAATAGAAAGTGAAACTCTTGGAAAGATTCTACAATGTTATTGCTTTTGTCCCAAATGGCACATTACAGAAATCAATTAATTTAGTTGAATGGCAACTATACGGACAAACATGTTCCTATTACTCTTCTATATCATGTCTTGAACTTTCTCTTTAATAAATGTGACATAAAAACTTTAAAACTTCTGTGCACGAAAGGACAGTGTCAATAGAGTAAACATGGTAATCAACAGAATGAAAGAAGATATTGACAAATAGCATATCTCATAAGAGATCAATATCCAAAATATGGTCAGGCACGGTGCCTCATACCTGTAATCCCAGCTACTTGGTAGGCTAAGGCAGGAGCATTACTTAGGCCCAGGAGTTCAAGACCAGCCTAGGCAAGTAGGCAAGATAGAAAGACACTGTCTCTTAAAAAAAATCCAGGATTTGTAAAGAACTTCTAAAACTCAACAATAAAAAAAACAAGGGAAGGGCCAAGAATGCTGATTAGAAGTAGCTCTGGTCTGTGGCTCCCACTAAGGAGAATGGAAACAGTGAGTGAACCCTGTACCTTCCACTGAGGTATCCAGGTTTTCTCACTGGTATTGACTAGGCAGTTGGCACAACCCACGGAGAGTGAAGAAAAGCAGGGTGGAGCAACAGCCCACCCGGAAGTCGCAAGGGGTAAGGGAACTTCCACCCCTAGCCAAGGGAGGTGGTGAATGATTGTGCTACCCCACCAGGGAAATCAAAGTTGGAGACATCATGCTACCTGACTTCAAACTATACTACAAGGCTGAAGTAACCAAAACAGCATGGTACTGGTACAAAAACAGACCAATGAAACAGAACACAGAACTCAGAAGTAAGACCACACATCTACAACCATCTGATCTTCAAAAATCCTGATTAAAACAAGCAATGGGGAAAGGATTCCCTATTTAATAAATGGTGCTGGGAGAACTGCCTAGCCATATGCATAAAGTTGAAACTGGACCCCTTCCTTACACCTTATACAAAAATTAACTCAAGATGGATTAAAGACTTAAATGTAAAACCTAAAACTATAAAAACCCTAGAAGAAAATCTAGGCAACACCATTCAGGACATAGACATGGGCAAAGACTTCATGACAAAAACATCAAAAGCAATTGCAACAAAAGCAAATACTGACAAATGGGATCTAATTAAACTAAAGAGCTTCCAGACAGCAAAATAAACTATTTTCAGAGTGAGCAGGCAACACACAGAATGTGAGAAAAATTTTGTAACCTATCCATCTTAAAAAGGTCTAGTATCCAGAGTCTACAAGGAACTTAAACAAATTTGCAAGAAACAAAAAACATTAAAAAGTGAGCAAAGGACATTAACAGACACTTCTCAAAAGAAGACATTTATGTAGCAAACAAACATATGCAAAAAGCTTAACATCACTGATCATTAGAGAAATGCAAATTAAAATCACAATGAGATACCATCTCATGCCAGTCAATATGGTGATTATTAAAAACTCAAGAAACAACAGATGCTGTCGAGGCTTCAGAGAAAAAGAAACACTTTTACACTGTTGGGGGGAATGTAAATTAGTTCAACCATTGTGGAAGACAGTGTGGCAATTCTTCACAGACCTAGAACCAGAAATACCATTTGACCCAACAATTCCATTACTGAGTGTATTAGTTCGTTTTCATGCTGCTGATGAAGACATTACCAAGACTGGGAAGAAAAAGAGGTGTAATTGGACTTACAGTTCCACATGACTGGGGAGGCCTCAGAATCGTGGTGGGAGGCAACAGGCACTTCTTACAAGGCAGTGGCAGGAGAAAATGAGGAAGAAGCAAAAGCAAAAACCCCTGATAAACCCATCAGATATTGTGAGACTTATCCACTGTCATGAGAATAGCACAGGAAGGACCGGCCCCCATGATTCAATTACCTCCTCCTGGGTCCCTCCCACAACACGTGGGATTTCTGGGAGATACAATTCAAGTTGAGATTTGGGTGGGGACACAGACAAACTATATTATTCTTCCCCTGGCCCCTCCAAATCTCATTTCCTCACATTTCAAAACCAATCATGCCTTCCCAACAGTTCCCCAAAGTCTTAACTCATTTCAGCATTAACCCAAAAGTCCATAGTCCAAAGTCTAATCTGAGACAAGGCAAATCCCATCCACTTATGAGCCTGTAAAATCGAAAGCAAGCTAGTTACTTTTTAGATACAATGGGGGTACGGGTATTGGGTAAATACAGCCATTCCAATGGGAGAAATTGGCCAAAACAAAGGGGTTACAGGGCCCATGCAAGCCTGAAATCCAGCGGGGCAGTCAAATTGTTTTATTTTATTATTTTTTTTAATTTTTATTTATTTATTTATTTGAGACGGAGTCTCGCTCTGTTGTCCAGGCTGGAGTGCAGTGGCATGATCTCTGCTCACTGCAGCTCCACCTCCCGGGTTCATGCCATTCTCCTGCCTCAGCCTCCTGAGTAGCTGGGACTACAGGAACCCGCCACCACACCCGACTAACTTTTTTGTATTTTTAGTAGAGACGGGGTTTCACCGTGTTAGCCAGGATGGTCTCAATCTCCAGACCTTGTGATCCACCCACCTCAGTCTCCGAAAGTGCTGGGATTACAGGCATGAGCCACCGCGCCCAGCCGCAGTCAAATTTTAAAGCTCCAAAATGATCTCCTTTAATTCCAGGTCTCACATCCAGGTCATGCCAATAGAAGAGGTGGGTTCCCATGGTCTTGGGCAGCTCTGCCTCTGTGGCTGTGCAGGGCACAGCCTCCCTCCTGGCTGCTTTCAGGGGCTGGCTCTGAGTGTCTGTGGTTTTTCCAGGCCCACAGTGCAAGCTGTCAGTGGAGCTACCATTCTGGGGTCTGGAGGATGGTGGCCCTCTTCTCACAGCTCCACTAGGCCGTGCCTCAGTAGGGTCTCTGTGTGGGGGCTATGACCCCACATTTCCCTTCCACACTGCCCTAGCAGAGGTTCTCCATGAGGTCCCTGCCCCTGAAGCAAACTTTTGCCTGGGCATTTGGGCATTTCCTTACATCTTCTGAAATCTAGGTGGAGGTTTCCAAACCTCAATTCTTGACTTCTGTGCACCCAGAGGCTCAACACCACATGGAAGCTGCCAAGGCTTGGGGCTTCCACCCTCTGAAGCCACAGCCTGAGCTGTACATTGGCCTCTTTCAGCCATGGCTGGAACAGCTGGAACACAGGGCACCAAGTCCCTAGGCTGCACACAGCACAGGGACCCTGAGCCTGGTCCACAAAACCACTTTTTCCTCTTGGGCCTCTGGTTCTGTGATGGGAGGGGCTGCTGTGAAGGTCTCTGACATGGCCTGGAGACATTTTCCCATGGTCTTGGGGATTCATATTAGGCTCCTTGCTACTTACGCAGATTTCTGCAGCTGGTTTGAATTTTTCCTAAAAAATGGATTTTTCTTTTCTACTGCATCACTAGACTGCAGTTTTTCTGAACTGTTATGCTCTGTTTCCCTTTTAAAACAGAATGCTTTTAACAGTACCTAAGTCACCTCGTGAATGTTTTGCTGCTTAGAAATTTCTTCTGCCAGATACCCTAAATCATCTCTCTCAAGTTCAAAGTTCCACGAATCTCTAGGGCAGGGGCAAAATGCCACCAGTCTCTTTGCTAAAACATAACAAGAGTCACCTTCGCTCCAGTTCCCAACAAGTTTCTCATCTCCATCTGAGACCACCTCAGCCTGGACCTTATTGTTCATATCACTATCAGCATTTTTGTCAAAGCTATTCAACAAATCTCTAGGAGGTTCCAAACTTTCCCACATTTTCCTGTCTTCTTTGGAGCCCTCCAAACTGTTCCAACCTCTGTCTGTTACCCAGTCCAAAGTTGCTTCCACATTTTTAGGTATCTTTTCAACAACACCCCACTCCTGGAAGCAATTTACTATATGAGTTTATTTTCACACTGCTGATAAAGACATACTGGAGACTGGGAAGAATAAGAGGTTTAATTGGACTTAGTTCCACATGACTTGGGAGGCCTCAGAATCATAGTGGGAGGTGAAAGGCATGTCTTACATGGCTGCAGCAAGAGAAAATGAGGAAGAAACAAAAGCAGAAACCCCTCCTAAACCCATCAGATATTGTGAGGCTTATTCACGATTATGAGAATAGCATGGGAAAGACTGGCCCCCATGATCCAATTACCTCCCCCTGGGTCCCTCCCACAACACATGGGAATTCTGGGAGATACAATTCAAGTTGAAATTTGGGTGGGGACACAGCCAAACCATATCATTGGGTATATACCCAAAGGAATATAAATCATTCTATTATAAAGATACACACATGTGTATGTTTATTTAAGCACTATTCACAATAACAAAGGCATGGAATCAACCCAAATGTCCATCAGTGATAGACTGGACAAAGAAAATATGGTACATACACAACATGGAATACTATGCAGCCATAAAAAGGAATGAGATAATGTCCATTTCAGGGACATGGATGGAGCTGGAAGCCATTGTCCTCAGCAAACTAATGCAGGAACAGAAAACCAAATACTGCATGTTCTCACTAATAAGTGGGAGCTGAACAATGAGAACACATGGACACAGGGAGGGGAACATCACACACTGGGGCCTGTGAGGGGCAGGGGCCGGGGCAGGGAGAACATCAGGATAAATAGCTCATGCATGCTGGGCTTGATACCTAGGTAATGGGTTGATAGGTGCAGCAAACCGCCATGCCACACGTTTACCCATGTAACAAACCTGCATGTCCTACACATGTACGCTAGAACATAAAACAAAATAAAATAAAATAAAGAAACAATTCAATTCAAAAATGGGATTTTTTAGATTCCTCATATAAGTAAGATCATGCATTACTTGTCTTTCCTTGTCTGGCTTATTTCACTTAGCATAATGGCCTCTAGGTTCATGCACGTTGTCACAAATAACAGTGTGAAAGAAAAATAGTTTTTTGTCCTTGTGATAGTTTGCTAAGAATGATGTTCTCACTCATAGTTGGGAATTGAACAATGAGAACACATGGACACAGGAAGGGGAACATCACACACCGGGGCCTGTTGTGGGGTGTGGGGAGGGGAGAGGGATAGCATTTGGAGATATACCTAATGTTAAATGATGAGTTACTGGGTGCAGCACACCAACATGGCACATGTATACATATGTAACTAACCTGCACGTTGTGCACATGTACCCTAAAACTTAAAGTATAATAATAAAAAAAAGAAAAAAAAAAGAAAGAAAAATAGTTAATCTTGAGGGCTGAGGCACCAATACTGTCTTCCTTTTGTTTCCAAACCGATAATGGTAATTTCACAACCCTGTGTCATAACCTCATTTCCTCTACTCCTTCCCTCTTTTCATTACTTAATTTTATGTAAAATGTAGATTTACTGAGCATAAGATAATTTATAATCAACTTTTTCCTCTACTCTCTTTTCACAAGTAAAATGTAGATTTACTGAGGCTAATCAAAGACTCAGGAATGTAACCATTTGTGTCATGGCCTACTCTTCCTCCTTTTTTTTCTCCTTCCCCTCCTGCTTGCTCTTTCTCCTTTAAATACTGAAGTTCTCAAAACCCTCTTTGGCAAAAGCATGGATCACAGATGCTCCTGTGATTTGTGTTTTTCCCAGGTGTATTCCTCAACCATGACAAAATAAACCTTTAATTGATTGAGACCTACCTCAGTCACTTTCTGACTTACAACAGGATTTCCTTCTTTTTAAAGTCTGAATAGGATTTAATTGTGTATACATACCACATTTTCTTTATCTATTCATCTGCTGAATGACACAGGTTGATTCTATACCTTGACTATTGTGAATAATGCTGCAAGGAACATAGGAGTATAGGTATATTTTCAACATATTAATTTTAAATTCTTTGTCTAAATCCTGTACATGGGGTTACTACATCATATGATAGTTCTATTTTTAACTTTTTGAGGAATTTCCATATTGTTTTCCATAATGGTTGTACTAATTTACATTCCCACCAACAGCGTACAAATGTTTCCTTTTGTCTACATCCTTAACACTTGTTATCTTTTGTCTTTTTGATAATAGCCATTCTGACAGATGTGAGGTGATATGTCATTGTGGTTAAAATGGAATATCTTAAGTTTTCCTATTTGAGGGTGTAAGAGTATTCTCCCCAGAATATTACTGCTAATGTTGCTGTTTTGCATGAACCATGGCCTTGAGCTGAGTTCTTGGACAGACGAGTTTTTGAGTACTTGGATATGGGTTTAAGTACTCAAGAACTATATATACTTTTATGTGGCTGAACATTAGGGCCTCTCTTTACTGGTAAGAACTTACAGAAAAAGGAGACATTATAAAGATCTCCCAGAGAAATATTTAAGTTTTTTCTGGGAATGAAGGAGCATGGTGACTACTAATCTAGAGGCTGGGGGAAGAGCTGTCTCTGGAAATATCCCAGGCATCACTACGGAACCAGAAGTAGAGACAAGCAGAGGTGTGTTGGAAAGAGTGACATGTGTAGGTTAGCTCCTGGTAGTTTAATCACGAGTGGTCCAACTGAGGCAATGCGTGGATGAGGAGATTGACAGAAGGAAGGAACCTGAAAATATAGATCAGGAAACAAAGCTTCATTGTACAGCATATCCACTGCAGGCAGTTTGGTTTTTGTTCCAGTCTTCTGTCTTCAAGGGCTATTTTCATAGAGCATGAGGAGCCATGGGACTGGTGAGGTCTGGGCTTCTGTGCCAAGATCACCCACATTCCTCATATCCCCTCAAATGTCCCAAATGTCCTGTATCACCTGATTTTCTATCTTCCTGCTAAAGCTTTTCCCATACTCCTACCCCTTCACTCTCCATCATCCTCCAATTCTTACCCGACTTCCACCCTGGAGTTTCACCATGGCCACTTGCTTGTGGGAGGCACTGTCTGAACACAGCCCCTGAATGCTACTGATTTGGTGCTTTCTTCAGATTCTCTAGACTGAGATTTTAAAGAGATAACTTTGTGCCAAGAGAAAGGACCTAGTTTATATGTGCCACGAAATATTGTTATATATAACTGGTAACCTAGAAGTTGATATAAAAGAAATATGTAAGTGGCTTCACAAAGATTTTGAAAAATTTAGGGATAATTGCTTGATAAATTTTAATTAAAAGAAAACAATATTCTGGGAGCAGCATTTCTAGTTATATTACCATTGGCATTAAGGAGGCCACAGAACCTTTCAGAATATACAGTGATTCTTGATTCCTGAAGTAAATGCAGGGTAAGGTCTTGGATGGTCCTTCTGGTGACAGGATGGCTCCTATGTTCACATTCACTCCACTGACCAAGCACAGATTCCAAGAGATGTTGACCAGAGAAGATGATTTCTCCCTTGATTTTCACAAAGAAGGAGTCCACGACTTTTTCTTCCAGCCTGAAGGAAGAGAGGATGTCCCCTAAAGACAGTCTCCCTACTGTAACCCTGACCCTCCCTACTAATGGCAGTGACTTTTTAGCCCATTTACCCATATGGAGTAAATGCTCTAATTGCTCTGCCTCCACAGAGGCTGGGCAGGCGATTCAGGTGAGACACTCGGAATAAGGATGCTTGACCTAGTTTCTTTCTTCGCTGGCCTTCTTCTGCCTGAATGCCCTGAATAATGCAGCAGGGATAGGGCCAGGGTAGACAACTGTAGAGAAGGCTGGGTCAGGCAGACACAGCTGGCAGAAGCCCAAAGCAAAACCTTTCCAGTGAGGTTTTAGCCAATCAGAAAAAGGCTCTGAAGTGACAATTGTTGCTAGCTGAAAAGTCTGTGCAAAGAGGCCTGTGAGACTGGGGAATCCCCAGGTCTGATGCAGCCTTTGCCTCAGAATAAACCTGCGGGAAATTTTTCCCTTAAACAGGAAGGATAGGATGCATTAGAGGCCTCTATCCTGAGGGACACTGATGTGGGGGCTGAGGAAGGACATTGAGGGCACCTTCAGGTCTCTCTGCCTATTATTCCTTGTGCCAACTCCATTCCAGGTGTGCGTATGGTTCCTCCTTTATGCGTCCATCACAGCAGTGGAGACCCTCCTTAGACTGGGTTTACCCTGACCCTGAGTACACCACTGCTGCTGGATGCCCAGTGGCAACTTTCCCAGTCTCAGGTGCTCTAGAATTATGCATTGAATAATACAGAATATTGGAGTGGCTCAACGCTTTCATGTGCCACTATTGCAAACCTCTTGCTGTTGCCTCTTGCCTGCTTCTTTTTACCTGGTAAACTTATATTCTGATTTTAGATTGTATTCTCTACTTTAAAAGCAGAACCTAAAATTTCGGGAAGAGAAAGAGAGAAAGGGAGAGAAGAAGAGAGGTGGAGATATTTATTGTCTTGGTTGAGGTCAGAAGTAATGTTTGCCAGTCTGTAGGGGCCAGCCCTACAGGGTCTGTGGGTCTTTCTCCCTGTGTGCGGAGACGAGGGATCGTAGAAATAAAGACACAAGACAAAGAGATAGAAGAAAAGACAGCTGGGCCTGGGGGACCACTACCACCAAGAGGCGGAGACTGTTAGTGGCCCCGAATGCCAGGCTGCGCTATTATATATTGGATACAAGACAAGGGGGCAGGGTAAGGAGTGTGAGCCATCTCCAATGATAGGTAAGGTCACGTGGGTCATGTGTCCACTGGACAGGGGGCCCTTCCCTGTCTAGCAGCCGAGGCGGAGAGAGAGAGGAGACAGCTTACGTTATTATTTCTGCATTTCAGAGACTTTTAGTACTTTCACTAATTCTGCTACTGCTATCTAGAAGGCAGAGCCAGGTGTACAGGGTGGAACATGAAAGCGGACCAGGAACGTGACCGCTGAAGCATAGCATCACAGGGAGACTGTTAGGCCTCCGGATAACGGCGGGCGGGCCTGACTAATGTCAGGCCCTCCACAGGAGGTGGTGGAGCAGAGTCTTCTCTAACTCCCCCGGGGAAAGGGAGACTCCCTTTCCCGGTCTGCTAAGTAACGGGTGCTTTTTCTAGGTACTGATGCTACCGCTAGAGCAAGGTCCGCTAGGCAACGGGCGTCTTCCCAGGTGCTGGCGTTACCGCTAGACCAAGTAGCCCTCTAGTGGCCCTGTCTGGGCATCACAGAAGGCTCACACTTGTCTTCTGGTCACTTCTCACCATATCCCTTCAGCTCCTATCTCTGTATGGCCTGGTTTTTCCTAGATTATGATTGTAGAGCGAAGATTATTATAATATTGGAATGAAGAGTAATTGCTACAAACTAATGATTAATGATATTCATATATAATCATATATATGATCTATATCTAGTATAACTATTCTTATTTTATATATTTTCTTTATTATACTGGAACAGCTCGTGCCCTCGGTCTGTTGCCTCGGCACCTGGGTGGCTTGCTGCCCACACCAGGCATTGTTCTAATTGCTTTATAACCATTAGTACTGCCCCTAGTCACTGGCAAGAGGAACCTGATTTCGTTTATTTATAAAAACACATTGATGTGGATATGTCCATAAGGAACTGTTAAATAAATTTTTAAAAATGGAAAAAAAACCACATTGATACCTCTGCCATTTGGGATTTGATATTTAGGGCTGGCACAGTACAATCTGTGACTAAACATTTTCTCCATCATTAATACTATTCAGGACCTAGGAAATGCTTCTCTACAGCTTTTGCTCTCTCTCTTCAAAACTAAACATGACTGTGTCTGAATACTGTAAAGGTTTGTGTACTGTGCCTTTGCTGATATCAGATGCACCCATTTCATGGTTCAGGGACGATTTAAACAGCTGAAGAACTTAAAACAGAAATGTCAACTTAATAAACTTTTCAAATACTTTTACTCGAAGAGCATAAATACAATATATTCTTGCATAATGAAGAATCATTTACCAGCAGAGGTGGGTATCAATTTTTTTTGGCTTGTCTTCTTGTTCCACATATTAATCTGATAGTTACACATAACAGTTGAGGAGCCTTTTGTAATATTAAACAAGTCATATTAATCTTAAATTTGTATATGTGAAGATCTAGCTGTAAAATGCATGAAACATGACCCATATTTTACAAAGAGAATCCTGGGGCAAAAATAAATTCAGTTATTTGTTGACTCTCCTAAAGCACATTAGTGGTGGAACTGCAACTCACCATTATTTCCTTCTAAGAACTTTGCTCTTCTCACCAAAACTTAAGGCTCCTCAGGGTGTGTCTAAGACAACAGCAGTAAAAATGTCTATGACAGCAATTTTCTCTCCCCTGAAATATGATCCCCACTTAATTTGCCCTACTGAAAGAATCCCAAGTATAAAAACAACCAGTTTTTAATCAATATTACAAAGATGTTTACTGTTGAATCGCATTTTTCTTTGGCTTCTTAAAATCCCTTAGGCATTCAATCTTCAGCTCTTCTATAATTGAGAGGAAGTTTTCACCTCAAATGTTCATCCAGTGCAATTTGAAGACGTCACAGTGCCAGGGACTGGATTGAGAACCTTCACAAAAAAAAAATGTCTGCCTAGAGACAGATTAGGTCCTTCAGCTCCAGTGCTGATTGGTTCCTTTCCAAAGGACCATCCAATCCTGCCACGCAGGGAAACATCCACAGGTTTTTATTCTTTCTGCCAGGTACATCAGATCCATCAGGTCCAAGCTGTGTTGACTACCACTACTTTTCCCTTCGTCTCAATTATGTCTTGGAAGAAGGCTTTGCGGATCCCTGGAGGCCTTCGGGTAGCAACTGTGACCTTGATGCTGGCGATGCTGAGCACCCCGGTGGCTGAGGGCAGAGACTCTCCCGGTAAGTGCAGGGCCACTGCTCTCCAGAGCCGCCACTCTGGGAACAGGCTCTCCTTGGGCTGGGGTAGGGGGATGGTGATCTCCATGATCTCGGACACAATCTTTCATCAACATTTCCTCTCTTTGGGGAAAGAGAACGATGTTGCATTCCCATTTATCTTTTAGTGATGAGGTGAGCACAGTCGGATCCCCATCCTACAGGCTTAAGCCTGGAAGAGAAGGAGAGAGGAGAGGAAAGAGGAGACAAAGTGTACATTTACTACCAGTGACAGGACAAAGTGAGCATGGGGTTATTTTTGAAGATACGAATTTCTCCAGAGACACAGCAGGATTTGTCATTTAGGCGTGCCCCAAGACTTTGCCTGGACTAAATATTATGGGATCCTGCATTGGGAAATGTAAGGCAGCAATGGTGTCTGTAGTCTCCGTATTTGAGGAAAAGTTGTCTGTATTCCTGACTGACTGGAACGTTTGTGGAGGCAAAATCTTGGTACTGAAGGAAGCTGACTGGATGACCACAGACAGGGAGTCTTCAGGTTTCACTGATTTATGGGCAAATGGTGACTTGAGTGGGATTCAGAGACCCGAGTTGGTGGACTGAATTTAGCAGAAAGGAGGATGTAAAGAAGGGAAATAACATATATTGTGAAACCACTCATTTCAGACACAGCACAATACTTTACATAAATTCTCTCTCACTCCTTCTAACATCCTGTGTGTAGATATCATGATTTTCTTTTACACAATTATACTTGTGATATGGATATTCTGTTACATACCTGCCCTAGCTGGTGACTGCCACAGCTTAATTGGAATCTAGTTTATCAAATTCAAAAGCTTGTGCTCTTTCCATGAATAAATGTTTCTTTCTAGGACTCGGAGGTGTAGGTCCTTTCTAACATAAAAGTGAGTGAACCTCACATGGCATTCGGAAGGGTAAATCCAGGCATGGGAAGGGAGGTATTTTACCGAGGGACCAAGAGAATACGCATATCAGAACGAGGACAGGCTTAATTTCTGGACCCGTCTCATCATTCCCTTGAACTCACAGGTTTATGTGGATAATTTTATCTCTGAGGTTTCCAGGAGCTCAATGGAAAATGGGATTTCATGCGAGAGCGCCCTGATTCCCTCTAAGTGCAGAGGTCTATGTAAAATCAGCCCGACTGCCTCTTCCCTCGGTTCACAGGCTCCGGCAGGGACAGGGCTTTCCGCCCTTTCCTGCCTGCAGGAAGGCGGATTCCCGAAGCCCCCAGAGAGGGCGGGCAGGGCTGGGCAGAGCCGCCGGGCGGATCACAAGTCTGGAGCGCCAGGCACGGGCGGGCGGGAACTGGAGGTCGCGCGGGCGGTTCCACAGCTCCGGGCCGGGTCAGGGCGGCGGCTGCGGGGGCGGCCGGGCTGGGGCCGGGCCGGGGCCTGACTGACCGGCCGGTGATTCCCCGCAGAGGATTTCGTGTACCAGTTTAAGGGCATGTGCTACTTCACCAACGGGACGGAGCGCGTGCGTCTTGTGACCAGATACATCTATAACCGAGAGGAGTACGCACGCTTCGACAGCGACGTGGGGGTGTATCGGGCGGTGACGCCGCTGGGGCCGCCTGACGCCGAGTACTGGAACAGCCAGAAGGAAGTCCTGGAGAGGACCCGGGCGGAGTTGGACACGGTGTGCAGACACAACTACCAGTTGGAGCTCCGCACGACCTTGCAGCGGCGAGGTGAGCGTCGTCGCCCGTCTGCGAGGCCCATCCTTGGCAGGGGCCCAGAGTCTCTGCGCCAGGAGGGGCGAAGGGGGCGCGGCCTCTGGAACCTGAGCCTTGTTCGTTCCACCCCGGCTGACAGGAGGAGGCGGTGGGGGTGCTGGGGGCTGGTGCATCGGAGGGGCAGGGACCTAGGGCAGAGCAGGGGGACAGGCAGAGTTGGTCAAGCTGCCTAGTTTCGCCCCATCCTCCCCGTCCGTCGGCCTCGCCCTCTGCTCTGCACGTTCTTGCCTCGTGCCTTATGCGTTTGCCTCCTCGTGCCTTACCTTTACTAAACAGTTCTCTCTGCCCCCAATTTCCGCCCTCTTCCCCTGCCCGCCCGCCCGGCTAGCACTGCCGCACCCGGCAAGGTCCACCTACACAGCTCATGCAGTGGGAAGCTTCAGACTTGGCCTGATGGAGTTAGGGCTGCCCCACAACTGCGCGCAGGGCATCCAGCAATTACAGTTGTCAAATAAGATATTTTGACTTTTGACTTCAAATTATTATTCATCGTAATTCTGTTTTCTTAAATGGCTCTCATTCATGGCGGAGCTCTTTGAGATGAGAGTGTTTTAATCATTGCATGCCTGGTATCTGACACATTGACTGGCATGTGGTATGAGCTCAATGATCTTCTGTTAAATTAATGAATAAATGTGCTCAGCTGCCAATCCACTTAGGCTCAAGGGAAAGCAGAGGATAAATAGAGCCTTAAAAATGGACTTTTATTAATTATTTTCTGTCATTTTGCTTAATTCTTTAAAGTAAACTCTTATTGACTTGGATCTTAATAGAGTTTGTGAATACAAAGTCTGAGGAAAAAAGTGTTTGCTAAAAATAAAAACAACACTTGAATGATGTTTGTAAGGCAGTTTTAATTTCTTAGAAAAGCTGAACAAATGGCACAATGCAAAGAGCAGAAGTTTTGGAATAAATAGATTGAAGCAATTAAATTATTGGATAAAAATAGTTTCAGGTTGCTTTTGGCTTAGGTTCTCCCCTCCCCCCATCACTATCCACTTCAGGAATAAACATTCTGAAAGTCAATTTTACCCATTTAGTGAGCACTTATTTCTAGACAGTTACCTTATCAAATACCGTCTATGTTACGTCATTTAATCTCACAGTTGCCTGTGCATTAGAGATTAGCATCACCACTTTATATATCCTAATATTAGTACATGACAAACACTTTAAGTAATCAGCCCACAAGTACTCACCAAGACCTTAAGCCTCCCAAAGTACACAATATTCTTTATGTTCTTCACTACACATCTATAGAGTCAAAGGGACATAAAGCCTTGTTAAAGCCAGTTTTGACTAGAAGCAGCAATGAGTCTCTTCCTGTTTGATCTCCATGTTAATGGGACAAAATGATACTTTCAAGGCATTGAAAATTTATGATTAATCAATCCCTAGTCTGACTCCAGTGTTACCTATGCAGATTCACAAAACTTTTAGTTTACTTTAAACTCCCTTGCCTTCTTTTGACTCACATCGTAGTGCCAGCAAGTACTTACATTTTTGCTATTTTGGTTCTATTTCCATAAAATTTATTTTATCATCTTTTCTCATAAGTTTGTGCCCTCTATTTTACTCCCAGTCTGTGTAAGATGAACAAATCTTATAAAGCCACATAGCTGACTGTGATTTCAGGTGGACTCCAGGAAGGAGAACCAAAGAAAAGTTCAAGTCCAAGCAGAAACCGTGATTCCTTCCGGATGATGGCTCAAGAGTGCCTTTTAATTGGGGTGCAACCTGCTGACCTCAGCAAATCTCAGCTATATTTATATGTTCACATTACAGGCTCATTAACCTAGGCTGATCTCTGCAAGGATCTCAGAATATTTTCTACAGATAACATACATGATAATATCTGATTTCAGGACAAAAAAGTAATTCTCAATAGCAAGGGAATGGAGTAGGGTAGACAGCTAGTAATTAAACTCACTTGTATGTTAAAAATAAATTAAGGAAAAAAAGAAAATGAGAGAACATATTACTAAATAAAGAAAGCATACATTAAATATTTACTATAGTTTCACACTAAGAGAATAAAGGAAATGCAATAAAGTGGCCTGAAAGATAAAGGATGAGATGTGTAAAGAGACAGGGAAAGATGTGTCATTTTTTTACTATGAGCAGCAGTCTGAGAAGATAAAGGAATCGAGTTATGGGCAAACATGATGTTTGATCAGTGTTATTTGTTTTGAAGGCCTGCCTACTTTTGTTTCAAATATTACAGACTTTTGAAATCACATTCTTTTTGTTTTTTGCTGTCTGTTACTAGATCGCACATTCTGTAAAGGCAGGGACCATGGTATGTTGTTTATCTTTGGATTCTCAGTGATTGTCATATTTATATTTGTTGAATGAATCTTAATCCAAGACTTGGACTCCAGGTATCTTTCCACTCTGGTTCCAAGGAGGGACCATTCCCAATGGTAGACGTGCTGTGTGGTCTCACATCTCACTCCTGTCTTTTCCTGTCTGTTACTGCCCTCAGTGGAGCCCACAGTGACCATCTCCCCATCCAGGACAGAGGCCCTCAACCACCACAACCTGCTGGTCTGCTCAGTGACAGATTTCTATCCAGCCCAGATCAAAGTCCGGTGGTTTCGGAATGACCAGGAGGAGACAACTGGCGTTGTGTCCACCCCCCTTATTAGGAACGGTGACTGGACCTTCCAGATCCTGGTGATGCTGGAAATGACTCCCCAGCGTGGAGACGTCTACACCTGCCACGTGGAGCACCCCAGCCTCCAGAACCCCATCATCGTGGAGTGGCGTAAGGGGATATTGAGTTTCTGTTACTATGGGCCCCACAAGACAAAGGGCAGAGCTCCTTCTGACCCATTCCTTCCCATCTCTTATCCCTGATGTCACTACTGAGCTGGGGATCACAGGAGACTAGAGCACCTCTTGCTCCATGGCAAGTGCATCAGAAGAATCCTGATCTCATCACCTTTCCAGATGCTAGGGAAATTATTCTACGTACTGTTTCTCCAGATCCCAGTCCTGATAGCTCGGAGGGACTTATTATTAGGGCTGGTGACTGGGATCTTAGGGTTTAAGGTATGGATGAGTTCCTGAGGAGTGGAGATCTGCTTCCCCGCTCTCTCACCTACTCACTGTACCGAAGGACCTATTGGCTGGCTTTCCCCTCCCTTAGGGGTGGTCTGAATGGAGGACTAGGTTCCTTTGACACTTTCACCTCCTGCATCTCAGACTGGACTTCAGCTCCTCAGCAGGGATGCTATGGGGTGTAGGGACAAACACTGACACTCAGGCTCTGCTTCTTAGGGGCTCAGTCTGAATCTGCCCAGAGCAAGATGCTGAGTGGCATTGGAGGCTTCGTGCTGGGGCTGATCTTCCTCGGGCTGGGCCTTATTATCCATCACAGGAGTCAGAAAGGTGAGGAACCCCAAGGGAAAAGGGGAAGATGGGCTGTGACCCAGACCCTCTGTTCAGGGAGGTCCTGTCTCTAGATGTGGCTCTTTCCTCCTGACCCTGAGAGGAAGAAAACTGAGCTGGAGGTGGGAGGAGACAGGACAAGATTGGAGGAGGCACTGGAATCTGATTTTACTAGTTGAAAGGTAGCCCTGTCACACAGGTGACTGATAGAGCTTATTCCAGGATGTACTTACCATTCATCGTCTCATTGGCTCCTTTCCAAAAGCTTCCTCCATTAAGAGGGTCAGAGCCTTGGCCTCCTTGCCTTCTAGTGACAATTTTCTTTGTTTTAGGGGATTTTAAATTAGGGTACTTAAGGCCTTGAAGAACATGAGTGGTAAGAGAATATAACTCTAATTAAGTCACATGTGTCATTTTCCTTTGGGGTGAGAGAGTGGCTGTTTGTGTAATGAGACCTTTCTCTGCATAACTTCCTTTTGTAAGACCTCAAGGGCCTCCACCAGCAGGTGATATTTCAGCCATGAGCCAGTGTGGGGGGGCACAGGTGTAAGAGGGAAGAGCATGAGCTGAATGCACCTGACCACAATGGTCTCTGTTCATGGTATATTTGCTGCTATGAGGATCAAGACTTAGGGTCGAAGTTTGCCAGTTTCTAGGAATCTCCAGAGGTTGTTCCCCAGAACCAAGCCTTAACTTTGGTGGTATCTTCTTGTGAAATGTGAAGCCAGAACCACAGCTTAAATGTTAGACAAGAGGATGATGCCCACTTTGTGCCACATGTTGGTGGCTACTGCCTGTAGGCATTTTCCAGTGACTGAAAGAGGCTGCTAGTGGTAGGGATGAGGTATCATCCAATTTTCTAAAAAGATTGAACCCTTCATATTCCCCAGAAGAGTAACAGCTGTTCCACCACTTCCCACACATCTGCATCAAGCTGAAGTTCTGTGTCCTCATGAGCTGATTTCACCTTTGCACAGATCTTGCGGGAGGTGACGATAATACATTCTGGACCTCAGCTTTCTCTGTCTGAAGCTGCAGGGGGCCCCTGAGGGGTGGGGGAGATTGCAGGCCCACCAGCGTACCCTGTGCTGATCATCCCTCTTCTCTCTTCTTCAGGGCTCCTGCACTGACTCCTGAGACTATTTTAACTGGGATTGGTTATCACTTTTCTGTAACGCCTGCTTGTCCCTGCCCAGAATTCCCAGCTGCCTGTGTCAGCCTGTCCCCCGAGATCAGAGTCCTACAGTGGCTGTCACGCAGCCACCAGGTCATCTCCTTTCATCCCCACCTCAAGGCTGATGGCTGTGACCCTGCTTCCTGCACTGACCCAGAGCCTCTGCCTGTGCACGGCCAGCTGCGTCTACTGAGGCCCCAAGGGGTTTCTGTTTCTATTCTCTCCTCAGACTGCTCAAGAGAAGCACATGAAAACCATTACCTGACTTTAGAGCTTTTTTACATAATTAAACATGATCCTGAGTTATCTGTATTCTCAACTTCCTTAATTGAGCAGAGGCAGGAAATCACTGCAGAATGAAGGAACATACCTTGAGGTGACCCAGCCAACCTGTGCCCAGAAGGAGGGTTGTACCTTGAAAAGACACTGAAAGAATTTTGGGTGCAAAGTCAGGGTGGGCAGAGGAGGTAGAAGATCAACTCAGTTGTCGCATCATTCATGGTTCTTTCATATTGATGTTCAATGCAGTGGCCTGAGAATATCCCAGCCTCTCTTCTGGTTTGGTGAGTGCTATATAAGTAAGCATGGTGGAATTGTTTGGGGGCAGATATAGTGACCCTTGGTCACTGGTGTTTCAAACATTCTGGCAAGTCACATCAATCAAGAATAATTTTTACTTTTAAGAAAGCATAACCAGCAATAAAAGTATTATTTTTGAGTCTAAATGATAGAAACCCAAATATATTTTGTTCATGGTGCAAAGGAAGCCTAGAGTCAAGTTGATTTCAGAAGTGACTAGTTCCAGATACACAATGAGATCTTCACCTCTCTCTTTCTGTTGTATCTCTATCTGTGAATCTGCCTCTCTTTCTCTGTATCCCTTTGTCCCTGTATAGTTCTTTCTGCGTGTCTCTCTGCATTTTTTTCCGTGCCCCCTTGTTGTCTTTCACTACATTGTTGCCTTTCTTTCTATTTTTCTAATCCATTGTCACTGTTTATCTGCATTTTTTCTATCTCCGTGTTTCTTTTTGCATCTATTTTTCTGCATTTCTCTTCCTTATCACTTCATATCTTATCTCATCTCTCTCTCTTGCTGTGTGTGTGTGTGTGTGTGTGTGTGTGTGTGTGTGTGTCTGTTTGTCTGTCTCTGTTAATATATGTTTCTAGAATGTCTACCAGAGTTTTAACAACTTTAGGAAAGATTCTGATTGGCCAAGCCTGGGTAACATGCACACCTCTCAAACACACTGTCCTGTGCACGGGATGCTGACAGCCAGCATTGTGTCCATCGCTCTTATTAGGAAGGAGGACTGGATTTTCCAGATCCTTGTGGTCCTGGAAATGACTTCCAGTGTGCAGATGTCTACACCAGCCATGTGGAGCACCTCAGCCTCCACAGCCTCCTCACAGTGGAGGGGTGTAAGGGGCAGTTTGTTTCTTGTGGAGCCCACAGGACAAATGGCAGAGCTCCCTCTGGTTCTAGGGTCCCTCATTGGGGGTACCTGTTCATAGTCATTCCACTCCTTGTCTGAGCTCCCTTTGTCATAGACGTTGTAACCTGTTGATTCCTGATGACACTCTTTTCCCGGTTATGAGGGAGGTAACTACACACTGTGGCCCCTTTGATGTGGGCCCAGCCCTGAAGCTGGTCTACATCTCAGTCTCTGAGTTTCATCATGAAGCCAGAGTCTGGGAGCTTCTGCGAGGTTATGTAAGGCCATGACCCTGAAAGCAGGCATCCCATCTTCCTTTCTCCCTCACCCACACACTGGGCGTGAGAAGTCTTTGGCAGGCTCTTCCTTCTTATGGATGAGGTCAGAGTGGAGAACTAGGTCTCCTTGGGACGTTCATCTCCTGTACTCCAGGCTGTCATGCAGGTCCTCAGACAGGGACACTGGCGCACAAAGAGGCACCAACACTTGAGATTCTGCTCCCCAGGGTTATGGTCTGAATTTTCCCCAAGTAGAATGCTGAATGGAGTCAAAAGTTTTGTGCCGATTTTGTCCTCTTCCTCAGGGTGGGCACTGTCATTCACCATAGGGATCAAAAGGGAGTAACACTTTTGGGGAAATGGGGAAGGCATGTGCTGGGTTGTCCAGCGTGTCCTCAGTCTCTGTGTGTAGCTCCTGGCTTTTGACCCTGCAAAGGGAAGAGGCAGGGCTAGGGATTGAACAAGACTCAAAGTTTAGGGGAACATCGAGATCTGATTTTTCTAGTTGAAGCATAAGCCCTATAATCGGGGTGGGTGATAGATTATATTCTAGGACATTCTTACAGTTCAACATTGTCACACTGAGCACACATGCTGGAAGATTCTTTATTAACGAGAGGGTCAAAATCGTCTTCTCTTTCTTCCATTGACAGTTTCATAGAAACAACTATGTTTTGCACCCAGATTTCATTGGATAGTATAATCTTTAATGGATAATTAATTAAAATAATAAGTACATCGTCTATAAATAAGTTTGCTAACACAAAGAACTGAGTCTTACTCAGCATATAACTTGGAGGAAAGCGTGTGGGTGTTCTAGAGGACAACCTACCAGTCTTGAGCATTTGTCCTTACCTTAGATAATAACAGTATAACTTTTGGAGACAGTGATGCTCGCCAGTATTCCAAAGCTCCTGTACATTTCTCAGTCTTTTCTGCTGTTAGGTTGGGGACATTTGACTAACAGTAACCAATGGAACTTGCAAGTAGGTACATGGTGGTGTATGAGATGCTGGAAACTCCATAATCTGAGTCATTTGAATAACTGTGGAATTAAGTCTCCTTATTGAGTTAAGCCACTGAGATCTACTTTTTACTGTGGGTTAAGATCTACTTTTTACTGTGGGTTAAGATCTTATTGCAACATAACCTTGCCCTTCCTGATTATCATGAAATGTTTAACTTAAGGAAGAAGAGAGTCCTTAAGTTAATAGGGTGAATCAACTGAGTTAATGGAAGTTAAGAGATGAGTTTTTAAAACAAATTAAAAAAATAAAAAGAAAACTTTATTTGAACAAGAAAAAGTTAAGGATGTTACACTTCAAAAGAATTTTGAACTCATTAATTATTTTTAATTGACAAATCACTGTGGATTTACAGGGTACTGTGTAATTTTTTTGATACATGTGATTAAACCAGGCTAATTAACATATCCATCACTTCACTTTTTGGTGGTATGAATATTTAAAATCTCTCTCTGCAATTTTCAAATATACAATACAGTTGGCCCTCTATATCTGTGGGTTTCACATCCTCTCATTCATTCAACTGTGGGTTGAAAATATTTAGAAAAAAATGAAAACTAACAATATAACTATAAAAATAATTCCAATTCAAAAACAATACAGTATAACAACTATTTTCATAGCATTTACATTACATTGGGTATTCTAAGTATAATCTGGAGATGATTTAAAGCATACAGGAGGATAGGCTTAGTTTATATGCAAAAACTAAGACATTTTTAATAAGGGACCTGAGCATTCTCAGATTTTGGTATACAGAGAGGATACTGGAACAAATCCCTCGTGGATGCCGAGGGACGACTGTACATTATTATTAACCGTAGTCACCATGCTGTACAATCGATCTTCAGTACTTATTCCTCCTGCCTAACTGAAACTTTGTACTTTTTTTCTGAAACGGGGTCTAGGTCTGGCTGGGGTGCAGTGGTACGATCACAGCTCACTGCAGCCTTCACTTCCCGGGCTCAATCCATCCTCCCACCTCAGTCTCTGGAGTAGCCGGGACTACTGGCATGTGTGACCATGCCTGGCTAGTTTTTGTATTTTTTGTAAAGATAGGGTTTCACCATGCTGCCCAGCTGGTCTTGAACTCCTGTGCTCAACCAATCTACCTGCCTCAGCCTCCCAAAGTGGTGGGATTATAGGCATGAGCCACCACACCCTGCCCTTCTTTGTAACTTTTGACCAACATCTTCTCATTCCTCTTTGTCCCCCTCCCTGCTACCCCCACTCCCCGACCTGCCATGATTTTGACTTTTTTAGATTCCACAGGTAAGTGAGGTCATGCAGTATTTGTCTTTCTGTGCCTGGCTTATTTCACTTAACATAATGTCTTCCAGGTTCATCCATGTTGTAAAAAATGTAAAAGATTTCCTTCTTTTACAAGGCTGAATAGTATTCCATTGTGTATATGGACCACAGTTTCCTTATACACTCATCTGCTGATTGAGACTTAGGTTGTTAACATCTCCTGGCCATTGTGAGTAGTGCTGCGATGAACATGGGAGTACAGATACCTCTTTGATACACTGATTTCATTTTCTTTGCAGATGTACCCAGCAGTGGAATTGCTGGATGATGTGGTAGTTCTATTTTTATTTTTTAAATAGATGATGAATTAAAAAAAAAACATTTATTTGGGTGGGGCGCCGTGGCTCACGCCTGTAATCCCAGTACTTTGGAAGGCCGAGGTGGGCGGATCACTAGGTCAGGAGTTCAAGACAAACCTAGCCAACATAGTGAAACCCCGTCTCTACTAAAAATACAAAAATTAGCCGGGCATGGTGGCATTCTCCTGTAGTCCCAGCTATTTGGGAGGCTGAGGTGGGAGAATTGCTCGAACCCAGGAGGCGGAGGTTGCAGTGAGCCGAGACCACACCATTTCACTCCAGCCTGGGTGACAGAGTGAGACTGCAAAATAAAACTATATATATATTTTGTTTGTTTGTTTGTTTTCTTCTACATGAATATATACGTATTCCCAGGAACTAGAACACCGTTTCTGTTGTGGATGCTGTTCTGTTCTACCTAAACTCCTCCCTTTGGGACTGAAGGATTTATTCTCTCACTGCTGGGAATGTTGCTGGCTGACAGCCCTTAGCTGTCAGTCATCCCCCAGAATTGCTTTAGGTGATGAAAGCAGCCTCATCAGATTTTACTCCACTTCCCAGGAAGAACCCACCTATAATGACTGGTCAGTGTTGGGGTATAAATGTCCTAAACGCTTTCCCTAAATTAAGCCAAATCTGAAGGGATCCTACAGCTTCAGAACTCCCTGGGGGTTAGGATGAAGACTTTTTGACTGAATGATAGTCCAATTTCTAAAACCCTGCTTTAATTCATGAGCCATCTTACATAATTCTTTTGGTACAAATGTAATTTAAATGTAGTGATCTTTGTGATTTCTTCCTTAACTATGGGCAATGTCTCTTTTCTGCTTCTTGGGAGATGAAGTTATTGGCATTGATACCCTTCCTTTCCCCTCCCCTTTATGCTTCCACTTGCCAAAATGAGATACAGGCACCCTTTTTTCAATATTGTCAAAGCTGACAATTTTGACATTCTGCTGTAACAATAAGCATACTTGGGCTTTGCTCGTAGCTTAATTCTAAAAATTGAAAAAAATAGTTTATCATTTTCTAAATATCACTCATGTATCAGACGTTCTTTGCTTGCCAAGGAACTGCTGTAATAGGATCCCTTTTCAGTGAGGTCCTGGGTTAAATTCAGTTTTCTGGATTCCTTATCTTCCCATTTCCTGATTAACAATTCCACTTTACTAAGTAATATCCTTAGTCAACTTCTAATAAAACTATGTGTGGTAGGTACAGTTTTTGCCCCTTCATATTTCTTGATTTAGGTTTCCAACCTTCCTATTAAATTTTCCGATTGTTTATAGCATTCTATTATTACTTTTACAGATTAAGAATTCTAATTAGAAAGACTTTAAACTTGTTTGCTGTTACATGAGCTTTCCATATTAAATCTGTGATAATTTTCATGTTATTTTATTCTCATCTTCTCTTTCGTGTTGTAAGAGTTTCTCAAACATTTGCTCTGACTGCCTCAACCTTGTCTTTTACCTACTGTATACCATCTTATTTCATCTCAAGATAAACTTCTTCGAGCCACCTCTAATCTCCCCCAAATTATACCTGGTTCCTGTGCAACACTCTCTCACTTTACCTTGTTCTCTTTTCCTTTATAAATTATTCAGAGTTTGTAATTATATGTTTGTGGAATTATGTAATATATGTATATTTCTTCCCACTAGAGTGTAAGTTCTATGAAGACAATGAATGTATCTCTTTTCACATTATTTTAATGATACGTATAACAAAGTATGGTACTTATTGCTATAATGGTACTCAAAGACCATTTTTGCAGTTTTGATGAATTAAGGAATATATAAACAAGTCTGGGGGCTTAGTACAGCCAATAATAAAGGAAAAAGTACTTTGCTTTCCTTTGCTATTATTAGTTCTTGCATACACATTCTTTAGAGTTGCATTTTTGAGAGGTTCCTATAGTCTTAGGCAGGATTTGGATACTTAGGATTTCCCAACTGTGATAAAAATGAGAAAAGCCTAAAAACTAACATAACTTCAAACAGAATGTTTCTCTGCCTATGTTTATGGGACTTTCCTGGAATGCATTTTTTAAAAAACTTTGTATTACAGAAAACTTCAACAGTGTTAGAGAGAAGAGTGCCATGTTTTAACAGCCAAGCTTTAACAATGATCAATTCATGGGCAATTTTGTAAACCCACCCAATTAATCATACATGCACACTGGGTTATTCTGAAGATACTTTCAGATACCATACTTCATTCATAATTATTTTATTATGAAAATCTAAAGTATAATGACTTTTTAGAAACATAACAGCAATGCTATTACCACACTAAAATTAGCTATTTCCTTAATACAGTCGGTGTCAATTTTTCTGATTGCCTCATATCAATATGGTTCATACATTTCTTCAGCCTTTTAAAAATGTATAGCTTCTCTTCTCTTCCCTTCCCTTCTCTTCTCTTCTCTTCTTTCTCTCTCTCTCTCTCTCTGTCTGTCTTTGAATTGTTGCTGAAAAAATTGAGTTATCTAGTGGAAGTTCCCATATGCTGGATCTTGTTGGTTTCATCCCTGTGGTGTCATTCGCTATGGGATTTGTTAGTTGGACTCCAGAAAATAACAATAACACTAATTGTTAACACCTACTGACTACTTACTATGTGCCAGTACAGACTGTAAGTAAAATAAAATGTTTAATTCTTCAAATCCCTAGTTTGTCTGTGGCAAGTACAAACCTGAAATATTTCATGTGATTTTTAAAATTTTGTAAAATTTATTTATTTATTTATTTATTTTTAGAGGTGGGGTCTTGCTCTGTTGCCTAGGCTGGAGCGAGCACAGTGGCACAATCCTAGCCTTCTGAAGCCCTGAACTCCTGGGTTCGCTCCTCTCGCCTCAGCCTCCAGAGTAGCTGGGATTACAGGCGCGCCACCATGCGCTAATTTATTTTTATGTTGTAGAGATGGGGTCTTGCTTTGTTGCCCAGGCAGCTGTTGAACTCCTGGCTTCAAGCAATCCTCCTCCATTGGCCTCCAAACTGTTAAGATCACAGGCACGAGCCTCTGTGACCCACTAATTTTGTAAATTTTAAATAATGTGATATTAAATATTAATGAAGTCACACTTTATGTATATAATCTGAAATAATTCAAATAACTGAAATAATTTTTAAGTATCGCATGATTTAAAATCATGCAGGTTGATCTGTAACCCCATTTATAGTAATGTCAATAATGACCCTACTTTTTTAGCTGATTAAAAAAATTTACTCTTATTTTTTAGAATTAGTTTTAATTCTGCTATTTTAACATTACATAAATACTTTTTGAATACAACCTTTTAATAAAATGCACTATCATTAAATTTGCTTTCCACAGTACTTCTTGAGGAATGAGTCTGAGTTGGGCAGCATTTGTAGATTTCTGTATGACTAGTCATTTTGCCATTCAGTATACCCCTTATATTACACACACACACACACACACACACACACACACACACACACACAAGCACACAAATGCACACAACTCCAATATGCTGGATTCTTGCCTTATGAATCATTGAAATTTATATGAAATTTATTTGAAACCCTATTGCTAAAAATTTCTTAGCACATTTGCGCATTTTAATGTGACTTTTTCATACTAAAAGTTTTATTTTATATATTTGGGATCATAATTGGTTACCTTTTCTTCTCCTTTTTAAAAACAGACTTTATTGAATCTATAAATTACCTTGGGCAGTATGGCCATTTTCACGATATTGATTCTTCCTACCCATGAGGATGGAATGTTCTTCCATTGGTTTGTATCCTCTTTTATTTCATTGAGGAGTGGTTTGTAGTTTTCCTTGAAGAGGTCCTTCACATCCCTTGTAAGTTGGATTCCTAGGTATTTTATTCTCTTTGAAGCAATTGTGAATGGGAGTTCACTCATGATTTGGCTCTCTGTTTGTCTGTTTTTTTTTTTTTTTTTTTTTTTTTTTTTTTTAATTTATTTTTTTATTGATAATTCTTGGGTGTTTCTCACAGAGGGGGATTTGGCAGGGTCATGGGACAATAGTGGAGGGAAGGTCAGCAGATAAACAAGTGAACAAAGGTCTCTGGTTTTCCTAGGCAGAGGACCCTGCGGCCTTCCGCAGTGTTTGTGTCCCTGATTACTTGAGATTAGGGATTGGTGATGACTCTTAACGAGCATGCTGCCTTCAAGCATCTGTTTAACAAAGCACATCTTGCACCGCCCTTAATCCATTTAACCCTGAGTGGACACAGCACATGTTTCAGAGAGCACAGGGTTGGGGGTAAGGTCACAGATCAACAGGATCCCAAGGCAGAGGAATTTTTCTTAGTGCAGAACAAAATGAAAAGTCTCCCATGTCTATTTCTTTCTACACAGACACGGCAACCATCCGATTTCTCAATCTTTTCCCCACCTTTCCCGCCTTTCTATTCCGCAAAGCCGCCATTGTCATCCTGGCCCGTTCTCAATGAGCTGTTGGGCACACCTCCCAGACGGGGCGGTGGCCGGGCAGAGGGGCTCCTCACTTCCCAGTAGGGGCGGCCGGGCAGAGGCGCCCCTCACCTCCCGGACGGGGCGGCTGGCCGGGCAGGGGGGCTGACCCCCCCACCTCCCTCCCGGAGTGGGCGGCTGGCCGGGCGGGGGGCTGACCCCCCCACCTCCCTCCCGGATGGGGCGGCTGGCCGGGCAGGGGGCTGACCCCCCCCCACCTCCCTCCCGGACTGGGTGGCTGCCGGGCGGAGACGCTCCTCACTTCCCAGATGGGGTGGCTGCCGGGCGGAGAGGCTCCTCACTTCTCAGACGGGGCAGCTGCCGGGCGGAGGGGCTCCTCACTTCTCAGACGGGGTGGTTGCCAGGCAGAGGGTCTCCTCACTTCTCAGACGGGGCGGCCGGGCAGAGACGCTCCTCACCTCCCAGACGGGGTCTCGGCCGGGCAGAGGCGCTCCTCACATCCCAGATGGGGCGGCGGGGCAGAGGCGCTCCCCACATCTCAGACGGTGGGCGGCCGGGCAGAGACGCTCCTCACTTCCTAGATGTGATCGCGGCTGGGAAGAGGCGCTCCTCACTTCCTAGATGGGATGGCGGCCGGGCGGAGACGCTCCTCACTTTCCAGACTGGGCAGCCAGGCAGAGGGGCTCCTCACATCCCAGACGATGGGCGGCCAGGCAGAGACACTCCTCACTTCCCAGACGGGGTGGCAGCCGGGCAGAGGCTGCAATCTCGGCACTTTGGGAGGCCAAGGCAGGCGGCTGCTCCTTGCCCTCGGGCCCCGCGGGGCCCGTCCGCTCCTCCAGCCGCTGCCTCCCGGGCGGCGCTCGCCGGCGCGGCGGCAAAGACTGAGACAGCTCCGCTGCCCGCTGAACTCCATCCTCCCGGCGGTCGGGCGGCGGCGGCTGCGGTCGGTCGCGGCAGCGGCTCCGCTTCATATCTGCAGCTGGGGCCCGCGGGCGTCAGCGCCGCGACTGTCCCGGCTCCGCACTGCCCCGGGCCGCAGCGCAGCCGCGCCAACCACCAGCCGCGGCCACCATGGCCGGACGGGCTCCCCTGTTTGTCTGTTATTGGTGTATAAGAATGCTTGTGATTTTTGTACATTGATTTTGTATCCTGAGACTTTGCTGAAGTTGCTTATCAGCAAGCTACCAATGACTTTCTTCACAAAATTGGAAAAAACTACTTTAAAGTTCACATGGAACCAAAAAAGAGCCTGCATTGCCAAGTCAGTCCTAAGCCAAAAGAACAAAGCTGGAGGCATCATGCTACCTGACTTCAAACTATATTACAAGGCTACAGTAACCAAAACAGCATGGTACTGGTACCAAAACAGAGATATAGACCAATGGAACAGAACAGAGCCCTCAGAAATAATGCTGCATATCTACAACTATCTGATCTTTGACAAACCTGACAAAAACACGAAATGGGGAAAGGATTCCCTATTTAATAAATGGTGCTGGGAAAACTGGCTAGCCATATGTAGAAAGCTGAAACTGGATCCCTTCCTTACACCTTATACAAAAATTAATTCAAGATGGATTAAAGACTTAAATGTTAGACCTAAAACCATAAAAACCCTAGAAGAAAACCTAGGCAATACCATTCAGGACATAGGCATGGGCAAGGACTTCATGTCTAAAACACCAAAAGCAATGGCAACAAAAGCCAAAATGGACAAATGGGATCTAATTAAACTAAAGAGCTTCTGCACAGCAAAAGAAACTACCATCAAAGTGAACAGACAACCTACAGAATGGGAGAAAATTTTTGCAATCTACTCATCTGACAAAGGGCTAATATCCAGAATCTACAATGAACTCAAACAAATTTACAAGAAAAAAGCAAACAACCCCATCAAAAAGTGGGCAAAGGATATGAACAGACACTTCTCAAAAGAAGACATTTATGCAGCCAAAAAACACATGAAAAAATGCTCATCACCACTGGCCATCAGAGAAATGCAAATCAAAAGCACAATGAGATACCATCTCACACCAGTTAGAATGGCAATCATTAAAAAGTCAGGAAACAACAGGTGCTGGAGAGGATGTGGAGAAATAGGAACACTTTTACACTGTTGATTGGACTGTAAACTAGTTCAACCATTGTGGAAGTCAGTGTGGCGATTCCTCAGGGATCTAGAACTAGAAATACCATTTGACCCAGCCATCCCATTACTGGGTATATACCCAAAGGATTATAAATCATGCTGCTATAAAGACACATGCACATGTATGTTTATTTTGGCACTATTCACAAATGCAAAGACTTGGAACCAACCCAAATGTCCAACAATGATAGACTGGATGAAGAAAATGTGGCACATACACACCATGGAATACTATGCAGCCATAAAAAATGATGAGTTCATGTCCTTTGTAGGGACATGGATGAAGCTGGAAACCATCATTCACAGCAAACTATCCCAAGGACAAAAAACCAAACACCACATGTTCCCATTCATAGGTGGGAATTGAACAATGAGAACACGTGGACACAGGAAGGGGAACATCACACACCGGGGTCTGTTGTGGGGTGGGGGGAGGGGAGAGGGATAGCATTAGGAGATATACCTACTGTAAATGACGAGTTAATGGGTGCAGCACACCAACATGGCACATGTATACATGTGTAACAAACCTGCACGTTGTGCACATGTACCCGAAAACTTAAAGTATAATAAAAAAATAGACTTTATTTTAAAGCAGTTGCTGGTTCACAGAAAAACTGAGCAGAAGCTGCAGAGATATCCCAAAGGTTCCCAACCCCCTGGGCCATGGACCAGTACCAGCTGGTGGCCTGTTAGAAACTGGACCATGCAGTGGACGAGGTAGCATTACCAACTGAGCCCCGCCTTCCGTCAGATCAGTGGTGGCATTAGATTCTCATAGGAGCGCGAACCCTATTGTTAACTGTGCATGCAAAAGATCTAGGTTGCATGTTCCTTATGAGAACCTTGCTAATGCTTTTTGATCTGAGGTGGAACAGTTTCACAGTTTCATCCCCAAATCATACCCACATTCCCCCCACTATCTGTGAAAAAATTGTCTTCCATAAAACTGGTCCCTGGTGCCAAAAACGTTGGGGACGGCTGCCAGATACATTCTGCTCCCACACATGCATAGCCTCCCCCATTAGCAAAATTTCCCTCCAGAGTGGTACATTTGCTATAATTTATGAACTTACATTGGCACATCATTATCACCCAAAGTCCATGGTTTACATTGTCTCACTCTTGGTGTTGTACATTCTGTGGATTTGGGCAAATGCATAATGACATTTTTCAACATCGTGGTATCAAATAGAGTAGTTTCATTGCCCTAAAAATGCTCTGTGCTCTGTGATGGACATTTTTTTGATGATCACTTGTTCAGACTCCCTTGCTTACTGATTCCTAGTCTGCATTTTAAATTATTTTCTCCTTGAACTTTCTTCACCTCCTCCCCAAAGTAAACATGCATAAACATCTGTTGCATATGAAATACTTTGAATAAAGACTTATAGGCCACAAGGAGGGAATATATCCCTTCTTAAAGAGTTGAAAACCAAAGTGAAATATTACGATTTCTCATCCTAAGAGTTCTCTCAGCAATTGATCTCAGCATCTCTCATTTTGGAGAAAACAATATCCTGCAATGATCATATGAAAAGAAATTCACCCATAGTTCTACATACATTTGAATCTCCTAAATCATTAAGGGGCTGAGAAAAACAAAAGTACTTTTCATATAACGTGATCCATTCTTTTAAATAAATTAATTATAAATATAACCACAATGTTTTCTTGTGTATTTATGTACTATATGTAAGGCATTGACTATATATCAAGATTATTCAAATTCCATCAATAGCTCTGCAAGGAAAGTATTATTACTCCTCCATTGTGGAAGAGAAAAATAAGGCCAGAAATGTTAGATACTTTACCCATTTATAAAGTTTAAAATACTAGCTTCAAAGTACTGAATCCTTGATTTGGATTTAGGGTTCTTTGCACCAAACTATACTGTATCAATTAATGTGTTAATATTTTGTCTTTTTTCTCCAATTAAAATTTAAACTCACTGATGCAGGTTGCATGGATAGAAATACCCTCACAGATTTCATAGCTGTTTAGAGCCATGGGGTCACTGCTGACCATTTCCTCTGGGAGAGTTTCTGCTAGGAAATGGCCAATCCAGTGGAGGACACAGCACCCACAGCTGCTGCTACATTGTCTCAACTGTGTTGTTCCTCCTAGGGTTTCTCTCATAAGCTAGTGCTTTCCTTAGCCAGGAGGGGTGAGGGGAAAGGGCTGGGGATTTCTGAAGATACTGGCATTGTTTTGTATCGGCATGTTTCCTAGAAACATCCTGCCATATCCACTATACTGTCTGCTTCATGCAAGGGTGGCACAGGGAAAGCTACGTGGTTATCTAGCAAAGCTTCATTCAGGAGGTGAGGCAGACTGCGCCTCTATTCAGGGCTCCTAGATATGTCTGTGGCTTCTACTCCTATCCCTTTTCCCATTGTCACTAACCCTATGTGAGGAATAAGTATTTGTTCCTTTTCAGATACCCACATTACTGTCTTTTTCTAATGTTTTTCTGACTTCCATTTCTTTTCCTACCTAAAGAATTTTTATTCCCTAAAGGCGAGGAGGGGAGAGGAAGGCTTCTACTGTCATCATTCTTTACAAATTCAAAGTTTTGAGAATAAATTTTTACTTTTGATATTTTTGTGATTCAAAGTTCCTTTATCCTAATTTATTTCTCCATCATACTTTTAAAAGCCATATTGAAATTAGTACAAACTTATTTTTTGGTTTTAAAATTTTTGCTATAACAATTCTGAGCAAAGGGCAGAGAGTATCCATTAACTTCATTGTTGCCTGAATTGAGGGATGGGCGGCAGTGCCAAGGGTGAGAACACAAAGAAGAAAGAAATATTAATGTCAGCTAAGAAATCAACATATTATCAGGCTATATTGTACTTGGTTGCTTCTGTGTTACTGGATATGAAATATGATCTGGGAAATGAGATGAAATTGGCTTGAAACATGAGAGTGTCCCAATTCTTAGCCATAGGTTCAGTCAGCCCCGGATGAAAGATGGAAAAATTTGACATAGATCTCTTAAAGGGAATTTATTGCTTCCATGGAGATTTTAGATCGATGTTACTGAGGAATTAGGTAGCTGGGCGGCTTACCCCAGGCATCTCTTAGTAGGTAACACCTGAGAAAAGAAAAAAAAATCAGGAGGTCAGGGAAAGAATTCAAAGGCATTTGTGAGCTCTGAGGGGATACAGAAGCTTAAGGAAAAAAAAGCAGAGAAAAGGTAAGAGGAGAAACATTTGCAGGAGAAAAAGGGTATGATAAATCGGGCCAGAGAATAGTGCTAGGTCATGTAGCAAGTCCACTCTTCCGCTGCTGTAGATGGTGATGCACCTGCAACAGGACAGACATGAGATCGATGGGTCCAAGGGGGCTCCTGTGTCATCATCATGCCACTTCCCAATTCCCCTACAACTTTCAACCACATTCATGTCCACAGCCTCCTCCCACTTTCCTTCCTGCAGCTTCAGCTCTAACAAATCTCAAACTTACCTTCTTTTTCAGGATGGGATTCACAAGGGCCCTTGGTGTCTGGAAGCACCAACTGAACGCAGGCCTCGGATGATCAAGACGGTCCCCACCACAATGCCCACGAGGCCCACAGACAACCCCAGGGCACAGACCACAGTCTCTGTGAGCTCTGACATAGGTGCTGGAATCTCAGGCTCTGTGGAAGTGAAGTTGTTGAGGTCAGAATGCAGAGTGTGCTCATGTGCATGTGTGAGGGATGGGATGGGGTGGAGGGTTGGCTCTGCAAAGACTCAAGGCCCCTGGCTCAGGGAGGAGAGTGAAGTCTGTTATTAGAAACCCATGAAGTGGCAGGCCTGCTCCCACCCTGTGGAGTGTACTTTCTTTTTTAATAAATCTGTGCTTTTGTTGCTTAATTCTTTCAAAAAAAAAAAAAGATAAAAGAAACTCATGAAGTGTGGAAAACAAGTTTTGGGACATAGAGTAAAAGGCAGGAAGTTCTGAACTTGACAGACAAGAAAGCATCAAAAAATGGTGAAACTCATCCTTACCCCAGTGTTTCAGAAGAGGCTCATCCAGGCCCCAGTGCTCCACCTTGCAGTCATAAATCTCATCAGCAGAAGGGAGGAAGGTGAGGTAACTGATCTTGAAGAAGGAATGATCACTCTTGGAGAGGAAGCTGGTCTCAGAAACACCTTCTGTGACTGAGTGCCCATTGCTCAGCCAGGTGATGTTGACCACAGGAGGAAAGATGTTGTCCACAAGACAGATGAGGGTGTTGGGCTGACCCAGTGTCACGGGAGACTTGGAAAACACTGTGACCTCAGGAACCTCTATGGTGAGGAAACAGCACTGGTGTGAAGTGTGAATAGCTCTGCCCTGAGCTTCTGCATTACATCCTGGAAGAGTCTTCCTACCAGCATTTCCTCTCCTGCTGGTCAAAGAGGCCTTATTTACCTTCTACTTGGGAGCAATGACACATTGCCTCTGCTTTACTCCTGTGCCCTTCTCTCTGTGGGCATGTTTAATAAAGTAGGAGGTTGATGAGACCTCTCCTAGAATGATTTAATGAATGCATAATGGAAAGACCCTTGTATTACATGGGGATATGTGATTTTAGAGATGAGAAATGATAAAATTTCAGCAATTGCCATGAGAAGATCTGGGGACCTCTTGGAAAGAAAATAATGAAACTTGGTATAAAGGGATAGATCAGTAAAGAAAGGCAGAATGGTGGACACATACCATTGGTAGCAGCGGTAGAGTTGGAGCGTTTAATCAGGATGTTCAAGTTATGTTTTAGCACAGCGATGTTTGTCAGTGCAAATTGCGGGTCAAATCTAAGTCTGTGGAACAGAGGCAACTTCCAGACAGTCTCCTTCCTCTCCAGGTCCACATAGAACTCCTCGTCTCCATCAAATTCATGGGTGAACTGGCCAGAGGGACCGTAAGACTGGTACAAGTTTACACCGTAAGAGGCAACGTGGTCAGCTGATGAGTGAAGATGACAAGCAGGAAGGCAGAGAACAGGAGAATAAAAAACCTTAATACACAAAATGATGGAAGAAACTGACTTTCAAATATTATGGGCTTTGTCTTTGGCAAAGTCTGTGGACATTTCCAGCCCCTGCTTCCTCCCCTCTTCGTGTTGATAGTTGTCCAGTTAAAAGTGCACTTTCTTTCCCACTACAGTGTGTGCTACACAAGGGCAGAATATCGCGTGTCCGATTTTCACTATTTCCTGAGTGCCTGGCACATCATGGACTTGTGATTAAATAATGTAAATGAACAGAAGAAGGAATGAATGAGTTATCAGAGTACTTAACTTTCTTAGTCATAGATTAACTTCCCTCTGCTTCCTAAGGTTTATCTTTCACTTAATTCTTTCATCAGTTAATAACAAATTGATTATACTTCCTTTCCTCTCAGGACTGGCTCAGAACAGGACATTCTACACAGAGATCTTTCTTTTTTTAGAAAAAGGAAAAGCATGCAGGATCTTATTAATTTAAAATAATTTCTGCTAACAATGGTAGGGTATAAGAAAGAGTATAACAAGAACGGTAATAACATTACAAAATATATGATAAATAAATAATGCTTCCTTCTAAGGTCTCTGTTTTGTTAATAGTAATGGTCCTTAGAGGAGAGTAACTGATTTCTTCTGAAATGAAAAAGTGGAAGCTCTACTAGTTTTTGGATTTCTGTCATTCCCCCCACCCTTTTTTTCCTCTGAAGGAGGTTACTAAATGTCTGCAGTGTTCTGACTCAACATTTATATTCACCCTTTTTCCTCTAATGGGCAGTGTGCTTCTCTGAGGATGCCAGAGCAGAATGGCAGCCATGCAGTATGACTCCAGCCAAATGAGCCAAACTGAACATTCTGGTCAAGACATGTGTAAGCCTTTTACCATCGTATCTTTCCTTCCTTCCCCACTTTCTGAGCATCCACAAGTATCAGACATAGCAGGGGAAGTGTAAAACACCAATCAGGCATGGTCTACCATTAAGGAACAAACTGAATAGTGGGAGAGTCAGGTAGGTAAGGGAGCAGATACAATGTACTGTAGTAAGTTCTGCGAGGAGGATATTGACAGCCTTACAGTCCAACATCTTTCACAAGTATCTGCCAAGCAAACCAAACTACATTATCCTTTCATGTTCCTGGTCTTTGCAGTGGTCTGTTGTTTTCCTCCCTGAAATGAAATTATCTTTTAGGACTTCCTGGAGAAATCATAAAATCAATCCTTGAGGTTTCTGCTTAAGTTAACAACTTTGTAGCTAAGTCCTCTCATCAACATGTTTTTGACCACGTTATGACCTCCAGCTCCTCCATCTCAACATCTGGCCATCCAAGTTTGTCTATCCCTCTTCCAGCTCACCTTCTTCCCTATCCAGTATGACCACGCTGGATGGTCTTAACAGGCCACCAACAAAGCCTCCTTATCCTTGCAATAAACCTTGACTCTTTGTTCAAACATAAATATATATGGAATATATGCAATCCTTCTTTTCGTCTGGTTATCCTGCTGGCCCAGCTGGAACCAAGTCACTTGTATAGTTTCAGCCTCTGCTGAGTCCACTGCCTGCTCAGCAATGGCCTTCTGCTTTCTTTCATCCCATACTGTTTCCATCACTAGTCTGAGCACCCTCTGCAGGGGAGACAGCATGACTTTTCATCTTTGAATCCTTAAAACTTAGCTCACTGGGTGCTCAAACATGTGTATTGAATGACAGTTGTTATATTTGAGGACCACATAGATTTTGGGGAAGACTGACAGGCACATAGTTAGCAGAACCACACGAAGGTCAGGATCAGCCATGATCAGGGATGCGTTCTGACATGTGAGCCCCAAGCACTCTTGCTTGTGTGGACGCCTTCCTCCATAAAAATATGGAAAATTATATTTTATGACTGAATTGGTATAAAGACAATATAATATAGGCTGAATTAAAAGTTAAAACATTTTCTTAGGCTCTACAATTTCATTTTTTTATAATTTTAAAAGGAGTTAAAACATTCTCATGTGGCTTTACAGTATGGAGGTTCCCCTGCACTGCCCACATTGTGCCTAATGGATGAGCTGAGCCTGACCAGGGCACTCTGGTGTGAGGCTGAAGAAAGGAAATTTGGAACAAAGAAGCCAAGCGCTCTGGAGGAGAGGGTGAAACTTCCACTGCTGAACAAAATCAGAATGGGAGCTGCCACGGTTAATAAGGTTGTGAAAGTTTAGAGTACCTTCCAGTTTACTTCCCCTTTTAACTATCTGACTTTTCAACTTTTGTTTTACAAACTCATGTCCATCTCTATAAAGGAGCAGGGAGTCAGAGATGGATCCTGAAAGGGAAGAGGGAGAAAGGAATGCATGAAGAGAGGTGGGAAGAGATGGACGACAAAGGCAGAGGAGACTAAGAGACCAAATAATTAATCTGTGCTTCCTTCCTTCTGTTTTCTTTCTTTCTTTCTTCTTTCTTCCCTTCCCTTTCTCCTTCCTTGCTTCCTTCTTTCCTTCTTTCCTTCCTTTCTCTCTTTCTTTCCGCTTTCTTTTTGAGACAGGGTCTCTCTCTGTTGCCCTGGCTGGAGTGTAGTGGTGCCATCATGGCTCACTGCAGCTTCCACCTCCTGGACTCAAGTGCTCCTCCCACTGCAGCCTTCTGAGTAGCTGGCACCACAGGCATGCACTACCATGCCTGGCTAATTTTTATTTTATTTTTTGGTAGAGATGAGGTCTTGCTGTGTTGCCCAGGCTGGTCTCAAACTCCCAGGCTCAAATGATCCTCCTGCTTCGGCCTCCCAAAGTGCTGGGATTACAGGCATGAGCCACCATGTCTGGCCCACTTTTCTTTTTATAGGACTTTATTAGATGAGGTGAAGAACAGGTAATTTGGGTTGATAATTTGAGAATAAAATGATTTAATTTACCAATTTTTTCTACTTCTCAATTTTAAACTAAAAGGATCCCTTATTTTGCTAAAGAAAAGAAATGTGAAGCTATACCTGTAATAGAAATATGTAAAAACAATTGACATCCATGTTTTCACTATTTACAAAGCTTAGCTACATGCCCATTTTATTTGATTATTTGTGAGGTGACACATATGAGGCAGCTGAGAGTAAGTGAGGACCATGTGGTAAAATGATTGTTGAAGGCATTCAGCCTGCTGGACTCCTTTACCTACTCCCCACCTGTGCCAGTTCCCATGTGGAAATGTGAGTAAGTCTGAGAGAAAGAAACGGGCAACTTTTTTAATATCTATAGAGTATATAATTGATGGAACGACCCCAAGATCTACTACAGGAGACATCCGAAAATCTTCAAAAGTTGTTCAGGGAAATTTGAGAATGACACTTCATACATTTTTAATAATAAAAAATTATCCACTGATGGAAACCTCACTAATTTTTGAGGCAATCATGATGGAATGACATAGAGACCTCCAGGCTGTAGTCACTGAATATAATATAAACAGAATAGCATCCTTAGTGAACACAAAAGCATACATAACAAAAAGAGTAGGTTGGGGCTCTGGTTTCCTGAAGGAGGAACAGCTATAATTTTTAATTCTCTTAATACTGAAAGGGGTCTTAGGAAATCTCTACAATTTCTCTGCAAATCGCTTTCTCTCTTTTCCTTCAATTTACTGTTTTTCAGCTCCAGAGAACATTCCTCACTCACGCACTCACCCACAATGTCTTCACCTCCACAAGGGCTCATCACGGTGGTCAGGGCGAGGGCCCCCAGCATCAGAGCTTTGTTTAGGATCATCTTCTTCCCAAGGCAGCCTCAGCAGTTGCTGTTCTGAGCTGTAGAGTAATTGTGAGGACCTCAAGACAAGGAAATCTGAAGACACCCAAACCAAACCCTGCCAAGTCAGGTTTTGGCCAATTAGAAAAATCCCCCATGGTGACATCTCAGTTACTAGTTGAAGAGTTTCTATTAAGAGCCCTGGAAGGAGACAGGGCAATCCCCTTGTTGTGATGCAGCCTCTACTCAGAGTGGACTTGAGGAATTGTTCTATGAAGAGAGGGAAGACACTAAATTGGAATCTTCTCTGGTGTGTGCATGTCTGCCATTCGCAAAAGGGATGGGAATTTTTCTTTTTTTTTCTTTTTCTTTTCTTTTTCTTTATTTTTCGAGACGTAGTCTCACTCTGTCACCCAGGCTGAGGTACAATGGCATGGTCTCGGCTCACTGCAACCTTTGCCTCCCGGGTTCAAGCGATTCTCCTGCCTCACCCTCCCAAGTAGCTGGGACTGCAGGTGCCTGCCACCATGCCCGGCTAATTTCTGTATTTTTAGTAGAGACAGAGTTTCACTATGTTGGCCACGCTGGTCTTGAACTCCTGACCTCGTGATCTGCCTGCCTCAGCCTCCCAAAGTGCTTGGATTACAGGCATGAGCCACCGCGCCTGGCCAGGGGTGGGCATTTCTGAGCAGCCTCATGGATAGATGAGGTCATCAATTATATGGCATCCTTCAGGATTTTCTGGGTTACAACCTCCAGGAATTTTTCCCTGAGTTGATTTCCCTCCCTGGCAGTCCCCATCCCCTGCCCTTTCTCTGGCTTCTGTATGAGGGTTAGCTGTTTTTCTTTTTGCTTCCATAGTGCGCGTGGAATTCTCCAAATGTTAAGTTGACCCCACCTACCTAGGGATCTCTGCTGGTGGTAGCCAAGCAATACCTTTGCCTTTTCTACTTGTATAAATCCAGCTGGGTAAGTTCTTCTCAAGCACTCAAAAGATCCAAGTGGTTTTGGCCAGGGCAATAAAAAGGGGTTATAATGTCAGATGGTGCTGTCTATAGTAACTGTATGAGACTTTATACAGTTTTTCTTTGCATTGAGTAATCCTTATATTCTGTGTTTTGGTGCTTCTTGAGTATGTTTAAAGGAAATTTGGGGACATTGATTACATTTAAAATTTGGCTGGCTCAATTACTCTAAGAACTTTTTTTAAAAAAATTAAGAATATGAAGTCAAAAGTTGAGGGTAGAATAAGAAGAATTGCACTGACTTAGAAAAATGGTTTTCTTTTCTTAAACTACCAGATCTTTTAAAACTTGTTATCCTACCACACTAAAATTCCAAATATTTGCAAGGGACTAGAGATTGAGCCAAAGTTAGTCCTTAGAGGGAAACTTATTATATTTTTTCAGATGCATCTATTTTCTGTATGTGATAGAAACCATAAGTTAATGGAGCTTCTATTTAGAATCACTCTGTCCTTGATAAATGGCCTTCTGAGATTCTCAGCACTATGTTTTACCTCCCACTGGCAGACACCGTAAAAAAAAAAGTGAAACAAAAAAAAAATGTCCTGACACCTGAGACTGTCTGGATGTAATTAACAAAGGCTTGGGGTTGCTAGCAGCTAGCCTGGCACTCCCAGGTGGTTTTGGTTCTCCTGTTGGAGATAAAGGATTTCATAGAACATCAGAATCAGACAGGTACTCTGTGAGCACAGTGGATTGAGACAGAACACCTGAATGCTCAGTCATCATGTCTGAACCCAGACAAAACATGAATATTGTCCAAACCACAAAAATGACCAGGCACATCTCTCTCGGGAGTGATTACTGCTTCTTTACCAACCACGTCTGTAGCCTCAGGATAGTCTTCTGTCCCTCTAGGTAGGATTTATGAAGCTACCCAATCATAACATTGCCACCCCAACCCTCCACTTTCTGTCAGAATCCAATTAAAAGCAAAATCCCTCTTTCTTAAATCCTCCCCAAAATCACCTAAAACAAGCACAAACCTTACAACTGATTAATGGTCAATTTTATGTGTCAGCTAGACTGTGATCCCCAGTTATTCAGTCAAACACTAACAATCTAGATGTTGCTGTGAAGATATTTTGTAGATGTCATTGAAGTTCATAATCAGTTGACTTTAAGAATTTATCCTAGGAAAACTGGGTGAGCTTAATCTAAGCTGTTGAAAAGCCTTAAGAGCAGAGCTGAGGTTTCTCTGAGGAAACAGAAATTCCACTCTGGACAGTGTGTCAGCCTGTGCTGAGAGTTCCAGCCTGCCCTTCCTGATAACTACCTCCCAGAGGATCTCTGACTTGCCTAGCCCACCCCCACAGATGCAAAAATTAATTCCTTGCATCATTATCTTAATATATGTATTCTCCTGGTTCTACTTCTTTGGTTCCAACAATCTCTTACTGAGGGGCTGCATGATTCTCATGGTGAGTTTTATCCATCATTGCAATAAACAATAAAGCTGACTTGTTCATTGCTTGTATGCTCCTGCTGGTCTTTGGCTGGAGGCATTGAGGTACCTCATTAGGCAGTTGTGAGAAATGTACATACACTGCACTTGGAATGAAAAATTCCTGGACTCTTTACATATACTTGTCATATTTTAATATCGTTCTCATTTTCCGAGGAGGACATTAAAGCCCAGAGAGTTGAAGGACTTTTCCCAGGGTCACGCAGCTGGTAAGCAGCACAGATGTGATGCTATGGGGCAAGCCATGAGTCCTTGTGAGGAGTGATGGGTGAGAGTCTCCTTCTGTGCGAATTCAGAATCCAGTGCCTTAACATGATTAGGAGAGATATTTGACCCTATAGGTGGCTTTATTCTTTCTAGCTCCTGCCATTGTGAATGAAGAGGGTTTTTGAGGTCCCCTTTGAGATGTGCTCCCTTTGCCACTCAATATCCTTCTGGCTGTGTAGCAAATAACATGTTTTTATCTTTTTTCCTGTATCCAGACTCACCTGCTTTGTATCTCATGGAAATTCCTTAGGACTTTGGCAAATGAGCAAAATGTTTTGGGATGGTAGTCCAGAATTTCACCTATTAAAATTACAGTTTAAATAACTCAACTCCAGTTAAGAAGTTAGGGTGTTAAATGTAGGATTAGAATTGTATCTTGGATGGGAAGTTGAGGGTGCCGTTTCAGACCTCACATCCTGTGGGGTGAAGGGAAAGTCCAAGCAAGGCAAAGTCATTGAAGAGATAATAGACGCCATTTCTTTTTTTCTTTTTTTGAGACAGAGTCTTGCTCTGTCGCCCAGGCTGGAGTGCAGTGGTGTAATCTCGGCTCACTGCAAGTAGCTGGGACTACAGGCACCTGCCACCACGCCCGGCTAATTTTTTGTATTTTTAGTAGAGATGGGGTTTCACTGTGTTAACCAGGATGGTCTCGATCTCCTGACCTCGTGATCTGCCTGCCTTGGCCTCCCAAAGTGCTGGAATTACAGGCGTGAGGCCACTACTGGCCCAATAGATGCCATTTCTATCTTTAACCTAGTTTTGTCTCTTTCCTCTTCCTGCTTCATCCGGCCATAACACAGTGAACGTTGTTCCAGTTGCTTCTGTCTTCAGGTCATAATTTTAATGTAAGGTAAAGTAGTAAGTAAATGAGACTCAGAAGAACAGCATACCATTTTAACAAGAGCTAATTTGTTACCTTTGTCTAGTAGAAAGAGAAAAGGCCCTCTTCATAAATTAATAGTGGGAATAAAATTTGGAGTTCAAAATAGTACTTTGTCCAACAATTTTCTCAGAAAGCACTTATTGACATGCCATTGATTCCACGACTAAAATAACAATGGGATGTGCCATTATAATTGACATCATTAAGAGCCCTCTAAGAAATTAGGTAGAATTTATGTTAGTTCTAATAAACAGTTATAACATTCTCTAAGACTGTATATTTTCAAATTGTTTTAGTCTGACTTTATGCACTGGTGAAGTTTTACTCTGAAGGCCAAGACTTCTGTCTTGCAGTAGTTAAAGCTGCTTCACAATAATAAGAGAGTCTAGAGTAGCAAAGTAAAAAGATACAGATTTTGTAATAAGATAAATATGTATTCCATGCTGCTTTTCATTTTATCAGCTGCATCACCTTGGGCAAGCTACTCAAAACATCTGAGCCTTAAGGTTATTTTCTATAAAACAGAAGGAAAATTATTAGATGATAGTTAATATGGTAAAATGAAATGATAGATAAGTACAATTATAAAGTTAAATACAATCCAGTGTCTGACACATAGCAACTATTCCCAAGTGGTAGCTCCTATATAAAGACAAATATTAATAATGATAATGATAATAACATCATGCTTTGGGCTGGGAAAGCCTATCAATTTTTCCTCATTCATTTAACCTTCTCCCTGTAGCACTCCAGGCATGTGGGAGCCTGTGAGCCACAGAAGCACTAAGACATTGCTGAAAAACAAAATTTTTTTGAAGACTCTTGTATCTGTCAGATTTTTTTATGTAATAAAGTACTCCAAAACTTAATGACTTCAAATAATTGTTTAGTGTCTCCTCATGATTCTGTAAGACAGGAAATTGTGCTCAACCCACCTGAGTGGTTTTTATGTACTGGGCAGGTTCAGCTTTTCTCAGGTGGGCTCCCTCACATCTCTGTAGCATCAATAGGTTTGGCAGGGATAGGAGGCCTCTCTCAATCCATGTGGGCTCATTATCCAGCAGGCGGGCTGAGGCTTATCACAGGTGCTGGAAAGCTCTCCTGTGCAAGATAGAAACAGTAGGTGTCTTGAGCTGAAACTTAAAACTCACAACATCACTTCCATTACATTCTGTTATTCAAAGCAAGTCATAGTACTAGCTCACATCAAGAGGTGGATTAATAGATTGCATTTCTTGACAGAATGGGCTACAAAGAATTTGTAGCTATTTTTGCAACTTACCATAAATATCCTCTGGCTTTTGACAATATGTAAATGAATTTGGTGTGCAAGCATTGGAGAGCCCCCATATTTGAAATAAATTCCACCCACTCACCTACCAGTCAAGATCTTATCTTTACTAATCTGCACTAAAAACACAGTGAAGCTTTCTCAAGGGAGACTTGAACTAAGAACTGTTGAATTCCAGTATGAATAAGGTGCTACAATTTATTCTTATAAAAAACTTTATGGAGTTTTACAAATGAAAATACAGAATTGTGAAGAATTGTAAGTAATCTCTTATGACTGCCAAGCTCATATTCTGATACAAAGTCCTGTATGCTGATATCCAGTCACGTGGCCTCTCACAATCATAAAATTAATGAAGCAGAGGAAACTTATAAAAACAATTGTTATTTAATATCATTTCCACCAATTCTTTATCAGCAACAACTCCTATGTGTGTGAACTAGTTGTTTTAAATAACTCACTTGAATAAACTGCACAATAAAAAATAATATGAGGAGGCCAGGCGCGGTGGCTCACGACTGTAATCCCAGCACTTTGGGAGGCAGAAGCAGGCGGATCACGAGGTCAGGAGATCAAGACCATCCTCGCTAACACAGTGAAACCCCATCTCTACTAAAAATACAAAAACAAAATTAGCCAGGCGTGATGGCGGGCGCCTGTAGTCCCAGCTACTCAAGAGGCTGAGACAGGAGAATGGTGTAAACCTGGGAGACAGAGCTTGCAGTGAGCCGAAATCGTGCCACTGCACTCCAGCCTGGGTGACAGAGTGAGACTTCATCTCAAAATAATAATAATAATAATAATAATAATAATATAAGGAAAGATTGCTTTGTAATGCTATTCTACTGAAAAACATGCAAAATTACCTCCATGTCCAGATCTACCTTCTCCATAGCTCCAGAGTATTCTACAGCTAAACCTAAGAGGTTATTTCATGAAGACTTTGCAGAGACTATGGTATGTAATCAATAAATACTTGTTGACTTGGACTGAAATTCTTAATCATCTGAATCAGTTTACAGAGCTGACTGTCTGGAGACTGATATTCCTCATGTCCAGCAGTGATTGATTCTCCTCCCAGGAACTCCCCAGTCCTAATGTACATATTGTAAACATTCTTTGTATAGATCTTTTAATTTACTTACTTAATTTTAGAGATGGGGTCTCACTGTGTTGCTCAGGCTGGCCTCAAACTCCCAGGCCCCACCTCAGTCTTCCAAGTAGCTGGGACTACAGGGGCACACCACGCCACCTGGCTATACAGATACCTTTCCTTAGCATTAATCATTAAACAAATGACAAATAATTTTTAATAAAAGCTTTAAAAGCAAGTGCTGCCCAAAGCAATTTATAGATTCAATGCTATTCCTATTAAAAAATACCATTGAGATTCTTCACAGAACTAGATAGAGCCTGAACAGTCAAGGCAATCCTAACCAAAAAGAACAAAGCTGGAGGCATCACACTACCCGACTTCAAACTACACTACAGGGCTACAGTAACCAGAACAGCATGGTACTGGTACAAGAACAGACACATAGAGCAATGGAGCAGAATAGAGAACCCACCAGAAATAAGACCTCATACCTACAACTATCTGATCTTCAACAAGCCTGAGGAAAACAAGCAATGGGGAAAGGATTTCCTATTCAAGAAATGGTGCTGGGAGAACTGGCTAGCCATATGCAGAAGGTTGAAACTGGAACTCTTCCTTACACCATATACAAAAATTAACTTAAGATGTATTAAAGACTTAAATGTAAAACGCAAAACTATAAAAACCCTGGAAGACAACTTAGGCAATACTACTCAGGACATAGGCATCGGCAAAAGTAATTGCAACAAAAGCAAAAATTGACAAATGGGATCTAATTAAACTAAAGAGCTTCTGCACAGCAAAAGAAACTATCAGCAGAGTGGACAGACAACATACAGAATGGGAGAAAAGTTTTGTAAACTATGCATCCAACAAAGGTCTGATATCCAGCATCTATAAGAAACTTAAACAAATGTACAAGAAAAAAACGAACAACTCCATAAAAAAGTGGGCAAAGGGCATGAACGGACACTTCTCAAAAGAAGACATACATGTAGCCAACAGTCATATGAAAAACAGCTCAACATCACTGATCATTAGAGAAATGCAAATCAAGACCACAATGACCATCCCACACCAGTCAGAATAGCTATTATTAAAAAGTCAAAAACTAACAGATGCTGATGAGGTTGTGGAGAAAAAGGAACGTTTATACACTGTTGGCGGGAGTGTAAATTAGTTCAACCATTGTGGAAGACAGTGTGGCAATACCTCAAAGACCCAAAGGCAGACATGTCATTTGACCCAGCAATCCAATTACTGGCTATATACCCAAAGGAATGTAAATTGTTCTATTATAAAGATACGTGTACACGTATGCTCATTGTAGCACTATTCACAATAGCAAAGACATGGAATCAACCTAAATACCCATCAATGATAGACTGGATAAAGAAAATTTGGTACATATACACCATGGAATACTACGCAGCCATAAAAAAGAATGAGATCGGCCGGCACGGTGGCTCACGCCTGTAATCGCAGCACTTTGGGAGGCCGAGGCGGGCAGATTATGAGGTCAGGAGATCAAGACCATCCTGGCTAACACGGTGAAACCCTGTCTCTACTAAAAATACAAAACATTAGCCAGGCATGATGGCTACTCGGGAGACTGAGGCAGGAGAATGGTGTGAACCCAGGAGGCGGAGCTTGCAGTGAGCCGAGATCGTGCCACTGCACTCCAGCCTGGCCGACAGAGAGAGACTCTGTCTCAAAAAAAAGAAAAAAGAATGAGATCATGTTCTTTGCAGGGACATGGATGGAACTAGAGACCACTATCCTTAGCAGACTAATACAGGAACAGAAAACCAAATACCGCATGTTCTCACTTATGAGTGGGAGCGAAATTATAATAACACATACATGGACACATAGAGGGGAACCACACACACTAGGACCTATTGAAGAGTGGAGGGTGGGAGGAGGGAGAGGATCAGGAAAAATTACCATTGGTTACTAAGCTTAATACCTGGGTGATGAAATAATCTATAAAACAAACCCCTATGACACATATTTACATGTTTATGTAACAGACCTGAACATGTACCCTTGAACTCAAAAGTTTAAAAAATGCTCTAAAATGAGGTTTCTCAACCTGAGAACTATTAATATTTTGAGCCAGAGGATAATGTTTTTTTTTGTGGGAGGCTGTCATGTGTGTTATAGGACTTTTAACAGCACCCCTGGCCTCTACCCAATACATGCCGGTAGCAGCCTCCCCATTAGTGACAACAAAAACTATCTCCAGACATTGTCAAATGTCACTTGAGGGGAAAATTGCCCCCATTTAAGAATCATTGCTTTATAAGGTAACAGACTCTCTAAAATAAAAATAGTAGCAATGTATTGTGTGTTTATGGAATATGAGAAAGAAATTATATGACAATTGCACAATGAATAAGAGAGAAATCTGGAGTATGCTAATCTAAGGTAGATTTGAAGATAGATTATTCATATATGTAAAATTCTAGGGCAACAACTAATCCAAAAGAAAGCAAAAAATGATTATAAAAATAAATATTTCATAGAATTAATAGAAATATCTAGTAAAAATAATTCAACCATATTAATAAGTACATTAAATATAATTGGTCCAGACAGACCAATTAAATGATAGAGAAGAACAGATTGAATAAAAATGGAATATTGAACTATAACCTATCAGCAACCCATTTTAAATATAAAGACATACCTTCATTAAAAGTAAAAAGAAGGGAAATATATACCATGCAAAAGAAATCAAAAGAAATTCAGAATGATTATGTCAATACTAGACAAAGCAGAAATTGGAGCGAGAAATGTTAATAGGGATAAAGACAGACATCACTTAATGATAAAGGGTTATTTCTCTAAAGAGACATAACAATCTTAAGTGCATATGCACCTAAAAACAGAGCTTCAAAATACAGGAGACGAAGTTGACATAAAAGAAAGGAGAAATAGAAAAATCCAAAATTATCATTGGAGATTTTATACTCATTTCTTAATATTTCATAGAAAAAATAAGCAGAAAGTCAGTAAGGATATAGAATAACTGAACAATGCTATCAAGTAACTTGACTAAGTTACATTTACAGAACACTCCACCCAACAGCAGGAAAGTACATAATTTGAAACTGTATTAATTCTATCTACTATATTTCTCTCTCTGTGAACACCATGTTCTTCTCCACTTACTCATCTCTTGTGGTCTCAAAGAAGTTTTATAACATTTTCTTTGATGATTCTTTATATTCCTTGTTAAATACTTTTCATATTATTTTGCTCTTGCTAATGGATACTTTTTTCCTTCCTCCATCACTAAATATTTTTTCTTACAGTCTTCATGGCTTAGTCTGCCAGAGACAGATGATGCTGCTTCCCACCGGGTTCTGATTTGCTGAAGAGGAAAATATTTAATGTCTTATTTTGCTTTCACTTAAACCCAGCTTCTGCAAGGGCCAATGGTCACCAAAACCTGACTAGAAGGGAGTGAGGCTGTGGAGATTGGGGATTGGGGTGAGGAATTGTAAATAACACATGATACATGGGTGTCCTTTCAGCGCCCTCTGTCTGGAAAATTAACTAACCAGAGAAGTGAAGGGTTCAACAGTCAGATTAAAGAACAGGTAGGCCGGGCGCGGTGGCTCATGCCTGTAATCCCAGCACTTTGGGAGGCCAAGGTGGGTGGATCACCTGAGGTCAGGAGTTCAAGACCAGCCTGACCAACATGGTGAAACCCCATCTCTACTAAAAGTACAAAATGAGCTGAGTGTAGTGGCACATGCCTGTAATCCTAGCTACTTGGGAGGCTGAGGCAGGAGAATTGCTTGAACCTGGGAGGTGGAGGTTGCAGTGAGCCAAGATCGCACCACTGTGCTCCAGCCTGGGCAACAAGAGCGAAACTCTGTCTCAAAAAGGAAAAAAAAGAAAAAAGAAAAAAGAAAAAAAAAGAAAAAGGAAAGAACAGGCATTACCCTGTGCTTTGTGCTTTGAGTCACTATCAAGTGACTTAAACCAAGGATGGCTCATGCCCACAGGTCTACAGGGAAAGAGTAACTGTAAATAGCAGCATCTTAATGTGTTTGCACTTGTGAAAAGGTAGAGGATGCTTCATTTCTTTAGTCCACACAGTCTCCAGTGAGTTTCATGATGTGCCAGTTGAATCTTATGATCTAGGCACTGTTTACTAAATTGACAATGAACCTCCAAATCAACTATGAGTTTGGCTTACTGGTATGAACCTGATGTTTGTAGTTTTAAAGTCAGCCAAAAATCCTGGGATGTGTACATTGTGGGAAAAAAATCAGAATTAAAGTGAAGGAATGGACTTGGTTGTTTCCCCAGATGTGTGAGAATAGGTTAATTTCCTGGAGGTAGTTAAAATAAAACCAAAAGGACAAATTGCCTGTTCCTCTCATATTCCTTCCCTCATCCTTATTCCCACCCAATATAAAGAAAGCCAGGCCTCTTTTTGCTTTTGACTCTGAAACTTTCTCTTCAGATATACTGGATGTTTATCAGCCAGGCTGGTAAGAAAATGTCGACAAATTGCCATGTTACCTCCCAGTCATGATGATGATAATAATTGATAGTAATGATGATAATAGTGCCTGATATGTATTGAGTACTTACCACATGCCAGATGTTCTTCTAATTGCTTTTACCATACTCGTATTAACTGACTTAACTTTTAGAATGATACCATTAAGTAGGTATATTATTATATCTCCCTCCCCCATTTTACCAATTAGGAAATTGTAGCATGGAAGGGTTGGATACCTGACTAAAGCTATACCAATAGTAAGAAACGGAGCCAGAATTCAAACCCATGCAGTCTAACTTCAGAATGATACCATAGAGAGAGGGCAATTGTGCTACACTGTAGCCCAGAAGGGAATTTATGCCACAGCTCCTATCACAGACAAGGGACCATTTGTCAAGCCACGACTTAATTCTTCTAAAGAAGTAATTGCATGTGGATCTGGCCACTTACACATCCAATTGTCTTCATCTAGAGGTGTTTCTCCAGGGCAAGCCCAGAGGTGGAAATTTGCATTAATGAAGCTGATTAAGACCTCCTCTGCAGATGCTTTATGGACAGAAATGGGCCCTTCCTCTTCTCTTTGTTTCTCATACTTGACTGTGGCTCTGCACCCCCAGGAGATTGGTTCCAGGACCCCAGCTGATACCAAAATCTGTGGATGCTCAGTTTCTTCTATAACATGCTTTAATAGGCCAGGCGCTGTGGCTCATGCCTGTAATCCCAGCACTTTGGGAGGCTGAGGCGGGCGGATCACGAGGTCAGGAGATCGAGACCGAGACCGTCCTGACTAACACGGTGAAACCCCGTCTCTACTAAAAATACAAAAAATTAGCCAGGCGTGGTGGTGGGTGCCTGTAGTCCCAGCTACTCAGGAGGCTGAGGCAGGAGAATGGCGTGAACCCGGGAGGCAGAGCTTGCAGCGAGCCGAGATCACGCCACTGCACTCCAGCCTGGGCGACAGAGTGAGACTCCATCTCAAAAAAAAAAAAAAAAATGCTGTAATAACCCATATCCGTGGTTTTAAATCCATGGTAGGTTGAATCCACAGATGTGGAACTTTGGATAGGTAAAGTCGACTGTATTTGATTTATGCACAGATAAACACTCTTGGTCAAGTCCAGCATAATTCATCTACAGGTGATTTAAATAGTGAATGCACTTTGAAGTCTTCATGGTCAGCTGAACAATCTGAAATTTTACTGTCAGACTTACTTAGAAATCTTACAGATTCAAACATGTTAAGGCTAATAAAATTTTGCAGCTTTGTCAAAAACCATAGAAATGTTCCTGAGCTTAGACCAGGCTACATGGCACCGAAGAGTCAGGGCTTGCTCCCAACCCCAGAAGAGGGGGACCAGAAATTTCCAGTCTGGGAGGGTCCCACACAAAAGTTGCTCTAAAACTACAGACTGGAGTTTTTTTCTGAGTTTTTCCTTCTTCAGGGAAAAGAGTGTGAACCTGCGTAGTGCTCTTCTATCTCTGCTCACCTGAGTACCACAGGGTTCATGGGTTTCAAGTTTAAGACATTAGATTTAGGGAAGATTCACATCTTTCTTCTTCTGTTTATTTGTGAGGTATGGTGAGGTCATTGTTTTACTTCCATGAGGACAGTGGATAAAAAAGAACCCTTTGGAGGGAAGGGAGAGGTAGAGATGAGTAAAGTTATGTAAAAGAATTGAAAAGTAGACCTGAGAGCGCAATTGAGAACAGAAACTTTGTGGCTATGATCCCAGGGGGCCATGAAGACCTGCAGGAGAGGAAAAAAGACACTACAGGGACAGTACAGGCGAAGTTCTACACAATGCTCCATATTAAAATGTTCCATACAAATTTCCCTGAGCAGAGGTTTTTCAAGGCCACTCGCCTTAGACCTGCAGGCCCTATTAAGACTGTTGGGAGGAGAAAAATGTAATAGTTCTTCTATCATCTAATCCTAGTCTTCTGAGTGTCATTAAGATCCTTCCTGTTTTTATAAATATAAATATCACAGTATAGATACATTTACAGAATTGTAATATTAGTCTTTGTAGTTTTTTTTTTTTACTTAATCTGTGGATAATTTCCCACAGATCAGACAATCTTCTACATCACTAAACAGTTTCTTACAATCTTATCTTTAGTGGCTATAAAAACATCACCATACACTTGAAATAGTATTTATTTAAACATTTTCTTAAAAAAACTTGGGGACACTTCAGGAGATTAATTGAAAGATTATATGGGGAATAGTTAACCCCACCTCTTTTCCACTCTGACCTCTGCCACATAGGTGGCTGGCATCTATCCCTCAAACAAAATACATGAAGTTTCCTCTCAGAAGAAATTGAATGGGCCCAGAGAAAATAATTCCATGCTATGGCCCTCATGGTCCCCCAGTGAAGGAATCAGACCCTGAAACATTAGCCCCAAATTCCATCTGATTTCTTCAAACTCATGACCATTTTTCAGTCGCTCTTACATGTAAAATAATATGAAGAAACAGAAAACATTTTAAGAGAGCAATAAGGATAAACAAAAAGAAAAACTTAAAACAGATTAGAAATTCAAGACAGCTTTAAATATATACACAAAACAAAGCCAAACAAAATTTTACTTATTATTTTCACAAACATTGGAGAAGGTAGTCCCTTTGTAAAACAAATAAAATTGCTATTAATCTTTTCTCCATAGGTAAAACAACAAAAACACTTTGAAAATTAACAATATAGCCATAATATTTATGACATTCTTTTTTAAATAACCCAAACACACATAAATAAAGATAAAGCATTTGCTATGCAAGCAAATCCAGCTTCAAGACAAGCCACAGCCCCTACCCACCATGCAGAATTCTGGGCCTAAGCTCCTTCTGCATAGATTGATGTAGAAATTACACTACCATAGATGCAAAACAAGGCCTGTCTAAAATCAGATTGTGGTTGCTGAGGAGGAAGTGGGAATGGGGAGTGACTGTTTAATGGGTACGAGGTCTCCTTTGGAGGTGATGAAAATGTTACGGAACTACATAGAAGTGATGGTTGTACAACATGGTGAATGCACTAAATGCTACTGAGTTGTGCACCTTAAAATGGGTTAATTTTGTTATGTGAATTTTACCTCAACAAACAAAAAGATTGCCTAACTCAGGCCCACGCCTTTATATAATATGCTGTATAATACACTCTACTACTCTTTAAAACATCAACAATACAGGGCAGTATACTTATCCTAGACTTTCAGAACATATATTCTTTTTTAAAATCTCATGAAGATTTTGAATAAAAATAGTTTTAATTCTATAGATTATATCTCCATCCAACTTCATGATTCATTTATAGTTTGTTTTCTCTCCAGTAAAGTACATTTTTTACTTTCTGTTGAGTCTATATATTTCTTACAAAACTTATTCTTTAATATTTTCTATTATTCCTAATGCTAATGAAGTTCTCCCTGCCACTAACCTTGGGTATGCCTTCTTGACAGTTTAGTCTGCCAGAGACAAATGATGCTGACTTCTCTACTTTGCCTTATTAGATAAAAAGAAAAGCATGTAATGATAATATCAAGGTTTCATGTTAATGTGGTTTATGCAAAGATTTATGTCATCATCCTTCCCCTTCAACCACAACCCTGTTCTAATAACCACATCCTGTGACCAAACAGCTCTTCCTTTCCTACAAGCATCAAACTTATTATTAGTTACTCTTAGGTTCTCGATGTGAATTTTAGATAGTGACATATCCTTTGGCCAACACTTGAACAATCTTCACACAAGATGTGAAGAACATGACAACAAACTCTCTGTAACTGAGGGTGTCAAAGAACATAGTTAAGGACTCCTGGCTGTGATGGCCGTTTTCAGTAAGACATTATTCTACAGGACACTTTCTGGAGTATGAATTCAACATATTAGAAACTACATTGTGGAGGTTTCCCCTGAAGAAAAAAAAGTAGATGGGAAACCCATGACAATAAGGGTCTGAAATTGTGTGGTATGACAGTGAGGGTAGGTGCACAGCTCTGGGCCAGCCACACAGAGTTAGGGCCACTGTCTCAACATCTGAAAGAGACTGGGCTTGAACAGTGAGGACTACATTAACCAGGGAGCTGGATCTGCATTGCTCATACTTGAACAGAGATTGGAACCCAGCCAACTGTGAGTGAGTGTGGAAGAGCCCCCTGCTGGAGGCAAATGCCTGGAGCCCTGAGCATATGCTGGGCCATGAGGAAGAGCAAAAGTATATTCTCTGGAACAGGGCTCTTCAGGGCCCGGGCTAAGTCAGCCAGCGCCCTCCTCCTCACCTCACCCAATGGTAAATCTGATAAATCAGTGCTAGTTTGCTTTGTATGATAGAATTTACTAAATGTGATGGCTGATATTTTGAGCCAGGGTGGCAAATGCAGCTACTGACTCAAGAGCAATGTTTAGTGGTAACTTGGGTATGAGAATAGGATTGTGAATTGTTATGCAACTTTACCAGTGACAGATGTGTCTCCTACCCATTGGCATATATGTTCTAGTCTAGTGCTGAGAAAGATACACAAAATATTAAGGCTTTTACAGCAAGATTGGTACCACAAAATGCTCATTTTTAGCTCTCGTGGATTTTCTGTCTTGTAGTTTGTTGTATCTTTCTCGCTCTTGCTGAGGCATCACCAAGTCAACTTGTAAATTCTGTAATCACTTTCTTTCAGTAGATTTCTTATATCTAAATTTTAATTAAGACTAGGAATCCTTTTTGACACTTGGACACTGAAAGGAAGCATCTCTCAATTTCCTCCTTTACTCACGCATCTTCTTATCAACTGGGGAATCTGGGGGTCACAAGACTGAAGTAGTAGGTGGGGCTCAGACACCAGATCAAATTAACTAAAACAGGGATGGGGCAGAAGCACCTCTCCGTAAGACATGCCTACCAGTTTGCCATGTCAGTTTACCATTGCCATGGCAACACCCAGAGGTTACCACTTCTTTCCATGGCAATAATGACCCACTGGGGTCATTGAAGTGGTAATTGGAGTTACCATCTATAAATTTTTTTTTTTTTATTATTATACTCTAAGTTTTAGGGTACATGTGCACATTGTGCAGGTTAGTTACATATGTATACATGTGCCATGCTGGTGCGCTGCACCCACTAATGTGTCGTCTAGCATTAGGTATATCTCCCAATGCTATCCCTCCCCCCTCCCCCGACCCCACCACAGTCCCCAGAGTGTGATATTCCCCTTCCTGTGTCCATGTGATCTCATTGTTCAATTCCCACCTATGAGTGAGAATATGCGGTGTTTGGTTTTTTGTTCTTGCGATAGTTTACTGAGAATGATGGTTTCCAATTTCATCCATGTCCCTACAAAGGATATGAACTCATCATTTTTTATGGCTGCATAGTATTCCATGGTGTATATGTGCCACATTTTCTTAATCCAGTCTATCATTGTTGGACATTTGGGTTGGTTCCAAGACTTTGCTATTGTGAATAGTGCCGCAATAAACATTCGTGTGCATGTGTCTTTATAGCAGCATGATTTATACTCATTTGGGTATATACCCAGTAATGGGATGGCTGGGTCAAATGGTATTTCTAGTTCTAGATCCCTGAGGAATCGCCACACTGACTTCCACAATGGTTGAACTAGTTTACAGTCCCACCAACAGTGTAAAAGTGTTCCTATTTCTCCGCATCCTCTCCAGCACCTGTTGTTTCCTGACTTTTTAATGATTGCCATTCTAACTGGTGTGAGATGATATCTCATAGTGGTTTTGATTTGCATTTCTCTGATGGCCAGTGATGATGAGCATTTCTTCATGTGTTTTTTGGCTGCATAAATGTCTTCTTTTGAGAAGTGTCTGTTCATGTCCTTCGCCCACTTTTTGATGGGGTTGTTTGTTTTTTTCTTGTAAATTTGTTTGAGTTCATTGTAGATTCTGGATATTAGCCCTTTGTCAGATGAGTAGGTTGCGAAAATTTTCTCCCATGTTGTAGGTTGCCTGTTCACTCTGATGGTAGTTTCTTTTGCTGTGCAGAAGCTCTTTAGTTTAATTAGATCCCATTTGTCAATTTTGTCTTTTGTTGCCATTGCTTTTGGTGTTTTGGACATGAAGTCCTTGCCCATGCCTATGTCCTGAATGGTAATGCCTAGGTTTTCTTCTAGGGTTTTTATGGTTTTAGGTTTAACGTTTAAATCTTTAATCCATCTTGAATTGATTTTTGTATAAGGTGTAAGGAAGGGATCCAGTTTCAGCTTTCTACATATGGCTAGCCAGTTTTCCCAGCACCATTTATTAAATAGGGAATCCTTTCCCCATTGCTTGTTTTTCTCAGGTTTGTCAAAGATCAGATAGTTGTAGATATGCGGCATTATTTCTGAGGGCTCTGTTCTGTTCCATTGATCTATATCTCTGTTTTGGTACCAGTACCATGCTGTTTTGGTTACTGTAGCCTTGTAGTATAGTTTGAAGTCAGGTAGTGTGATGCCTCCAGCTTTGTTCTTTTGGCTTAGGATTGACTTGGCAATGCGGGCTCTTTTTTGGTTCCATATGAACTTTAAAGTAGTTTTTTCCAATTCTGTGAAGAAAGTCATTGGTAGCTTGATGGGGATGGCATTGAATCTGTAAATTACCTTGGGCAGTATGGCCATTTTCACGATATTGATTCTTCCTACCCATGAGCATGGAATGTTCTTCCATTGGTTTGTGTCCTCTTTTATTTCCTTGAGCAGTGGTTTGTAGTTCTCCTTGAAGAGGTCCTTCACATCCCTTGTAAGTTGGATTCCTAGGTATTTTATTCTCTTTGAAGCAATTGTGAATGGGAGTTCACCCATGATTTGGCTCTCTGTTTGTCTGTTGTTGGTGTATAAGAATGCTTGTGATTTTTGTACATTGATTTTGTATCCTGAGACTTTGCTGAAGTTGCTTATCAGCTTAAGGAGATTTTGGGCTGAGACGATGGGGTTTTCTAGATAAACAATCATGTCGTCTGCAAACAGGGACAATTTGACTTCCTCTTTTCCTAATTGAATACCCTTTATTTCCTTCTCCTGCCTGATTGCCCTGGCCAGAACTTCCAACACTATGTTGAATAGGAGCGGTGAGAGAGGGCATCCCTGTCTTGTGCCAGTTTTCAAAGGGAATGCTTCCAGTTTTTGCCCATTCAGTATGATATTAGCTGTGGGTTTGTCATAGATAGCTCTTATTATTTTGAAATACGTCCCATCAATACCTAATTTATTGAGAGTTTTTAGCATGAAGGGTTGTTGAATTTTGTCAAAGGCTTTTTCTGCATCTATTGAGATAATCATGTGGTTTTTGTCTTTGGCTCTGTTTATATGCTGGATTACATTTATTGATTTGCGTATATTGAACCAGCCTTGCATCCCAGGGATGAAGCCCACTTGATCATGGTGGATAAGCTTTTTGATGTGCTGCTGGACTCGGTTTGCCAGTATTTTATTGAGGATTTTTGCATCAATGTTCATCAAGGATATTGGTCTAAAATTCTCTTTTTTGGTTGTGTCTCTGCCCGGCTTTGGTATCAGAATGATGCTGGCCTCATAAAATGAGTTAGGGAGGATTCCCTCTTTTTCTATTGATTGGAATAGTTTCAGAAGGAATGGTACCAGTTCCTCCTTGTACCTCTGGTAGAATTCGGCTGTGAATCCATCTGGTCCTGGACTCTTTTTGGTTGGTAAACTATTGATTATTGCCACAATTTCAGAGCCTGTTATTGGTCTATTCAGAGATTCAACTTCTTCCTGGTTTAGTCTTGGGAGAGTGTATGTGCCGAGGAATGTATCCATTTCTTCTAGATTTTCTAGTTTATTTGCGTAGAGGTGTTTGTAGTATTCTCTGATGGTAGTTTGTATTTCTGTGGGATTGGTGGTGATATCCCCTTTATCATTTTTTATTGTGTCTATTTGATTCTTCTCTCTTTTTTTCTTTATTAGTCTTGCTAGCAGTCTATCAATTTTGTTGATCCTTTCAAAAAACCAGCTCCTGGATTCATTGATTTTTTGAAGGGTTTTTTGTGTCTCTATTTCCTTCAGTTCTGCTCTGATTTTAGTTATTTCTTGCCTTCTGCTAGCTTTTGAATGTGTTTGCTCTTGCTTTTCTAGTTCTTTTAATTGTGATGTTAGGGTGTCAATTTTGGATCTTTCCTGCTTTCTCTTGTAGGTATTTAGTGCTAGAAATTTCCCTCTACACACTGCTTTGAATGCGTCCCAGAGATTCTGGTATGTGGTGTCTTTGTTCTCGTTGGTTTCAAAGAACATCTTTATTTCTGCCTTCATTTCGTTATGTACCCAGTAGTCATTCAGGAGCAGGTTGTTCAGTTTCCATGTAGTTGAGCGGCTTTGAGTGAGATTCTTAATCCTGAGTTCTAGTTTGATTGCACTGTGGTCTGAGAGATAGTTTGTTATAATTTCTGTTCTTTTACATTTGCTGAGGAGAGCTTTACTTCCAACTATGTGGTCAATTTTGGAATAGGTGTGGTGTGGTGCTGAAAAAAATGTATATTCTGTTGATTTGGGGTGGAGAGTTCTGTAGATGTCTATTAGGTCTGCTTGGTGCAGAGCTGAGTTCAATTCCTGGGTATCCTTGTTGACTTTCTGTCTCGTTGATCTGTCTAATGTTGACAGTGGGGTGTTAAAGTCTCCCATTATTAATGTGTGGGAGTCTAAGTCTCTTTGTAGGTCACTGAGGACTTGCTTTATGAATCTGGGTGCTCCTGTATTGGGTGCATAAATATTTAGGATAGTTAGCTCCTCTTGTTGAATTGATCCCTTTACCATTATGTAATGGCCTTCTTTGTCTCTTTTGATCTTTGTTGGTTTAAAGTCTGTTTTATCAGAGACTAGGATTGCAACCCCTGCCTTTTTTTGTTTTCCATTGGCTTGGTAGATCTTCCTCCATCCTTTTATTTTGAGCCTATGTGTGTCTCTGCACGTGAGATGGGTTTCCTGAATACAGCACACTGATGGGTCTTGACTCTTTATCCAACTTGCCAGTCTGTGTCTTTTAATTGCAGAATTTAGTCCATTTATATTTAAAGTTAATATTGTTATGTGTGAATTTGATCCTGTCATTATGATGTTAGCTGGTGATTTTGCTCATTAGTTGATGCAGTTTCTTCCTAGTCTCGATGGTCTTTACATTTTGGCATGATTTTGCAGCGGCTGGTACCGGTTGTTCCTTTCCATGTTTAGCGCTTCCTTCAGGAGCTCTTTTAGGGCAGGCCTGGTGGTGACAAAATCTCTCAGCATTTGCTTGTCTATAAAGTATTTTATTTCTCCTTCACTTATGAAGCTTAGTTTGGCTGGATATGAAATTCTGGGTTGAAAATTCTTTTCTTTAAGAATGTTGAATATTGGCCCCCACTCTCTTCTGGCTTGTAGGGTTTCTGCCGAGAGATCCGCTGTTAGTCTGATGGGCTTTCCTTTGAGGGTAACCCGACCTTTCTCTCTGGCTGCCCTTAACATTTTTTCCTTCATTTCAACTTTGGTGAATCTGACAATTATGTGTCTTGGAGTTGCTCTTCTCGAGGAGTATCTTTGTGGCGTTCTCTGTATTTCCTGAATCTGAACGTTGGCCTGCCTTGCTATATTGGGGAAGTTCTCCTGGATAATATCCTGCAGAGTGTTTTCCAACTTGGTTCCATTCTCCACATCACTTTCAGGTACACCAATCAGACGTAGATTTGGTCTTTTCACATAGTCCCATATTTCTTGGAGGCTTTGCTCATTTGTTTTTATTCTTTTTTCTCTAAACTTCCCTTCTCGCTTCATTTCATTCATTTCATCTTCCATTGCTGATACCCTTTCTTCCAGTTGATCGCATCGGCTCCTGAGGCTTCTGCATTCTTCACGTAGTTCTCGAGCCTTGGTTTTCAGCTCCATCAGCTCCTTTAAGCACTTCTCTGTATTGGTTATTCTAGTTATACATTCTTCTAAATTTTTTTCAAAGTTTTCAACTTCTTTGCCTTTGGTTTGAATGTCCTCCCGTAGCTCAGAGTAATTTGATCGTCTGAAGCCTTCTTCTCTCAGCTCATCAAAATCATTCTCCATCCAGCTTTGTTCTGTTGCTGGTGAGGAACTGCGTTCCTTTGGAGGAGGAGAGGCGCTCTGCGTTTTAGAGTTTCCAGTTTTTCTGTTCTGTTTTTTCCCCATCTTTGTGGTTTTATCTACTTTTGGTCTTTGATGATGGTGATGTACGTATGGGTTTTCGGTGTAGATGTCCTTTCTGTTTGTTAGTTTTCCTTCTAACAGACAGGACCCTCAGCTGCAGGTCTGTTGGAATACCCTGCCGTGTGAGGTGTCAGTGTGCCCCTGCTGGGGGGTGCCTCCCAGTTAGGCTGCTCGGGGGTCAGGGGTCAGGGACCCACTTGAGGAGGCAGTCTGCCCGTTCTCAGATCTCCAGCTGCATGCTGGGAGAACCACTGCTCTCTTCAAAGCTGTCAGACAGGGACACTTAAGTCTGCAGAGGTTACTGCTGTCTTTTTGTTTGTCTGTGCCCTGCCCCCAGAGGTGGAGCCTACAGAGGCAGGCAGGTCTCCTTGAGCTGTGGTGGGCTCCACCCAGTTCGAGCTTCCCGGCTGCTTTGTTTACCTAAGCAAGCCTGGGCAATGGCGGGCGCCCCTCCGCCAGCCTCGCTGCCGCCTTGCAGTTTGATCTCAGACTGCTGTGCTAGCAATCAGTGAGATTCCGTGGGCGTAGGACCCTCTGAGCCAGGTGTGGGATATAGTCTCGTGGTGCGCCGTTTCTTAAGCCGGTCTGAAAAGCGCAATATTCGGGTGGGAGTGACCCGATTTTCCAGGTGCGTCCGTCACCCCTTTCTTTGACTCGGAAAGGGAACTCCCTGACCCCTTGCGCTTCCCAGGTGAGGCAATGCCTCGCCCTGCTTCGGCTCGCGCACGGTGCGCACACACACTGGCCTGCGCCCACTGTCTGGCACTCCCTAGTGAGATGAACCCGGTACCTCAGATGGAAATGCAGAAGTCACCCGTCTTCTGCGTCGCTCACGCTGGGAGCTGTAGACCGGAGCTGTTCCTATTCGGCCATCTTGGCTCCGTACCATCTATAAATTAAGGGGTGGATTATGCAGAAATTTCTACCCTATTTCTAGAAACTTCTGCATAGTCCACCTCTTAATTTGTATATAATTAAAAGTGGGTATAAATATGACTGCAGAACTGCCTCTGAGCTACTATTCTGGGCACACTGCCTATGGGGTAACCCTGCTCTTCAAGGAGTAGCTTAGTTCCATAAAATTTGCTGTCTAACACCACTGTCTCATCCTTGGAATCTTTCCCTAGTGAAGCCAAGAACACTCTTGGGCAAAGCCCCAATTTTGAGGTTTGCTGGCCCTGCATCAAGACCACCCTTGCAATGGAAAAATTTATCTGCTAGTTATCTCAGTACTGAGGGCTTCTTAATGTGGGAGTCCTCACTTTGGGGAAAATGAAGAATTTGACTGGTTTCGGGGGGTTGGTCAAGGGAGATCTGCTGCAGTCTATTAAGTGATTCTGTGAAAGACAATGATATCTTACTCCACTTTGAGCATTTGATCTGAATGCCCCCTTCACATGAAGCCTCTGTGGATCCATAACCAAGGGTGCAGGAATTTTGCTTCTGAGAAACTTTCCCATGATAGAATTCTAGTTATTTCTGTTTTTCTTTCTGTTTGCTACTATGACCTACACCTCTGTTAACATCCCTGTGCATGCTTCCTTGTCCACATACCTAATGTTTCTTTAGAACAAATGCCTAAGACTAGAAGTTCTATGCACTATATTTGTGTTTACAACTTTATTATAACTAGCTGTATAAATTTCAACCCCCACTAGAAGTGTTTAATTGTTCACACTAATGAATTTTCTTGCCAATAAATTATTGTCAGACTTCATTTTGCCCATCTCTTGAGAATTAAATGATATTTCCTAATGATTTGAAATGTGTTTATCTGATTACTAATAAGGGTAGAAATCTTTTCACATTATGTATTGACCTGCTGTGCTTCCTTTTCATAAGCTAGCTCTCATCCCTGGAGTGGCACTGAATTTCTTATTATTTTTATAAATATAAAAATATCATATGTAAAGATAGATATAAGCTTATAAGACTTAAATTTTAGTTTTTACAATTTAATTTTCCTATATTATATGTATTAAAAATAACTTCTTCCAATTTTTGTCATATTTTTAAAGTATATTTTGATTACATTTTTAAAAATATGTATTAAAGTATATTTATTAAAATTTTTACTTTTTTTGTTATTTCATCCTTGTTAAGAAATACTTCCCTACTTCAGTTCATAAAATAATCTAAATTTTCTATTTAAAAAATTTAAAAATTACCTTTCCTTTGGCTAAATATTCTGTAATGGGATTGCTGGATGATATGATAGCTCTATTTTTAGTTTTTTGAGAAACCTCCATACAGTTTCCCATAATGGCTGTACTAATTTACATTCCTACTAATGGTGTATAAAAGTTCCCTTTTACCCTCCTCCTTACCAGCATTTTTTTTTTTTTTTTGCCTTTTTGATAGTAGGCATTCCAACTGGGATAAGATGATAGTTCATCATGGTTCCTGTTCACATTTGATTAGTCTGAATTGAATTGATTTTTGTGGATACTGTGTTGTATGAATCCAACGTTGAGTTTTCTGTCTGGATAACAAATTCTCTCAGGATGACTTACTGCACTATTTCATAAGTAAATTCCAATGCCAACTCCAACATAAATATGATTTTACATATGAGTGAGTTGGTTCTGGGCCTGCTGTTTCTGTTCATTTGTCTATAGGTCTATCCATGCATCAATACAATTCTCCTATTTATACTTAAGTCTGATAATAAATTGAGGACTAGCTGGGCAAAATCTTACCAACCTGTTTCTTTCTATGTATAACTAGTAAAGAAACCAAACTGTTTATTTGCATGTGTAACTAACTTGTAGGCTAGTCTTAAACAATTGCTTTTCTATAATTATTTATAATCAGCATAGTGATTGCACAATATTATGTTAGGATTTTGAGTAGAACTGCATTGGCTCTATAGATTAACTCAGAGAAAAATTGTGTTTATTTTTTGGATATTTTATTCATGAATATAGTATATATTTCCATTTACGTAGGTATCTCTAATTATTATTATTATTTTTTGACAGAATCTCACTGTCTGGAGGCTGGAGTACAGTGGCACGATCTGGACTCACTGCAACCTCCGACTCCCAGGTTCCAGCAAGTCTTGTGTCTCACTCACCTGAGTAGCTGGGATTACAGGCTCACACCATCATGCCCGGCTAATTTTTGTAATTTTAGTAGAGACAAGGTCTCACTATGTTGGCCAGGCCGGTCTTGAACTCCTGGCCTCAAGTGATCCACCGCCTTGGCCTCCCGAAGTGCTGGGATTACAGGCATGAGCCACCATGCCCAGTCTCTAATGTCTTTTAATGAAGTGTTAAATTAAATTAAACTACCTAAAATTACCAACAATCATCTGTTTTTGATCAAAAACAATTTTGATCAATTTCATTTAGTTCAATGTAAAACCCTGATGTAACAGACCTCTATAACTTGTTAGATTTATAGATAGCATACCTAACTTTAATTTTAATGTTGTACAATTATTTGTTGATGTACGACTTGCTTAACATATTGTGTAGGTTAAAATGTTGAGATTCAGAGAGACCATTAAAATTGCTCAAAGTCAGACATCCAGGATATAGCAGAGTAAAATTTAAACTAAGTTCTGCCTAATTCCAAAGCCCTGGTACCCTTCTTTTGCAACCATTTATATTACATGATAAGTTGACTTATCTACATGTGATTGAGCTTATAGACAAATGGGAAAGGAAGTATACATTTGCATCTTGACTAAAGACAATGCTAGTCATGGCCAGACAAGAATTACAAGGCAGTCTCTATCATTAGAGAATTCCAGCTTCTAAATTTCCAGATGCAATTCCTTGTGTTTGAATTAATCCCTAGAAATCTGTACCTAAAAAAGCACACATGAGAATAAGGTAATATAGGAAGCAGTGGTTATTGTTTTTTTGTTTTTTGGGTTTTTTTTGAGATGGAGTCTTGCTCTGTCGCCCAGGCTGGAGTGCAGTGGCGTGATCTCGGCTCACTGCAAGCTCCTCCTCCCAGGTTCACACCATTCTCCTGCCTCAGCCTCCTGAGTAGCTGGGACTACAGGCGCCCGCCACCATGCCCGGCTATTTTTTTGTATTTTTAGTAAAGACGGGATTTCACCATGTTAGCCAGGATGGTCTCAATCTCCTGACCTCATGATCCACCCACCTCGGCCTTCAAAAGTGCTGGGATTACAATTGTGAGCCACCACGCCCCGCCAGTTATTGTTTTTATATAATTCATTTGTTAGCTGTAACTTATGACTGAAGAAGAGCAAGACCAGGAACAATTAAATGTGTTGGAGGTAAGTGTAATATGAAAACACTAGAGAATGTAGGGTCAGTGTAGAGTTGTAGAGAAACACCCCTCTGTGTTGAATTCAACTCAATTTGTTTAAAGACACAAGAAATATTTTTTGAATCAAGGCCATTTTCTAGGCATGGTGGGAGATGCAGACTTGTGGAAACAACAGGCCTAAACTTAAGGGGCTTATGGTCTAATGGGACACAAAAGAAGTACCCATTTATAATGTTAAGTAGTAGGTGGTTTCTTAGAAAAAAATAAATTATGTACATTTAGAGAATAATGCATAAGAGAAATGTTACAATTAAATATACTTTGAAAATGTCTTTGGATTTTAAAAGGCAGAGATAATGAGGAAGAAGCATGGCATAGACCTACCAAAATCTTTTTTTGAAATATAGTTTAAACTTTATTCTACAATTCTTTCTTCTGCTAGGTCAAACCTATGGTTGAGCCCCCTCTAGTGAATTTTTATTTCAATTATTGTACTTAACAACTCCATAATTTCTATTTAGTTCGTTTTTATTATACTATTGTCTAAATATTTGTGTCTCCGGCCCCCAGATTTATATTTTGAAGCTCAATTCCCATTTTCTAGTGTGTGATATTAAGAGGTGGGATCTTTGAGAGGTGATTAGGTTATGAGGGTAGAGTCCTCATTAATGGAAATAGTACTCTTGTAAAAGAAGCTGAAGGAGCTTATTTACCACTTCCACTGTATGAAAACACAGGTGGAACGCACTGTCTGGGAAACAGACAGTAAGCCCTTGCCAGACACTGAATTTGCTGGTTCTTCGATCTTGGATTTCCAAGCCTCCAGAACTGTAAGCAATAAATTTCTGTTGTTTATAAATTACCTAGTCTAAGGCATTTTGTTATAGCAGCTGAACGGACTAAGACAACTAACTATTATCGCTATTGTTGTAACGCCAAAGGTTCTTGCCTTAGCCACGCCAAAGAATTGGTGTGGCGGCTGCGTGCCGTGAGTGATAGAGACACGGACCAATAGAGAGAAAAAGCTGTAGGCTTTATTGAGCAGAGTGAAAGTACAAAGCTTCCACAGTGTGGAAGGGATCCTAAACGGGTAGCCACTGCTGGTTTTGGGTGATTGCCTTTTAAACTCTTTAAGGGGGGAAATACGTGCGGTGGGAAGATGTTACCAGAGTGAGAAACAAAGGCAGTAAATTATTTTGTTCCATGTCTTAGATCTTGAGGAAAACCGGAATTGCAACCTAGGTTTTATTTACTTTATGACCTCGTAGTGGCATAGCAAAAGAGACAGGATCTTACAGGACTTTATAAAGTATGTTCACAAGGAATTGGAATTGGGAAGTTAGATAAGGTTTGCTGGTCACAGAAAAATGGGCAGTTAACATTCCTTTTATCTTTAGTTTTGGGGGAGGGGGAAGGGAGAGAGGGAGAGAGACACAGGGCAACTTACAGCAAAATTTTCGCTGTTTATAGCTTTCTTGGGGAAGAAAACACATATACAAATCCGGGTGTTAGGAATATTTAAGCATATATCTTCAGTGTTATTCATCCAGGACTGAAGTAAGTCCTGATGCAGGAAATGAGTGAGTTTCACAGCTTTCTGAGCCCCTACTCGACCCAGGAAGCCCAGCTGCACCTCCTCTTGTTATTCTCTCTTTGATGCAACGGTGCCATCACACCTTCCTTCACTTCTTTAGTCATCCTTTCCTTTAGGTCTATGAATGTAATGGATAATGTTATGTATCAACTTGAGTTGGCTGAGGGATGCCCAGATAGCTGGTAAAACATTGTTTCTGAGTGTGACTGTGAGGGTGTTTCCAGAATATCTTAGTATTTGAATCAGAAGACTGAATAAAGTAGATATCCCTTACTAATATGGGTGGGCATCATTCAGTCCATTGAGGACCCAAATAGAACAAAAAGGTGGAGGAAGGGTGAATTCTCTTTCTCTCTGAGCTGGGACATACATCTACTTCTACCCCTGGACACCAGAGCTCCTTCTTCCCCTCCTCCTGCCATGACTCCAGCCCGTGTCCTGGTTCTCAGGCCTTTGGCCTCAGACTGGGAGTTGTACCATTGGCTCCCTTGATCCTCAACCCTTCTGACTCTCACCGAATTACACCACCTGCTTTCCTGGGTCTCCTACTTGCAGATGGCATATTGTGGCACTTCTTGGCATCCATAATTGAGCGAGTCAATCACCATACATATCTTTTTGTCTCTGTTTCTCTGGAGAATCCTGACGAAAATATTGAATATATTTAAACATATGTATAGTGGCTACTTTAAATATTTTTGTGTTAAATTTGTTCTCTCAAGCAATTTCTTCTGCCTTCTATTTTTCTGGTGTATTGGTCACACTTTTTTGTTTCTTTGCATAGCTCATAATTTTTGTGGAAAAATGAACATTTTAGGAACTATATTATAGAAACTCTGGGTACTACCCCCATATTGTGCTTGTTATTCTTATTTGCTTGTTTGTTTATGTGATTAACAATGATTGTCTGGATTATTTTAATAAAGTCTATCTTCATCTCCTCATCCCACAGTGTTAAGCTTTTGATGTTACCTCAAGGAGGCACAGCTTTGAGTATATCCAAGGTTACCCTGGAATGACAGTGGTCCTGTAGGACTCTTTTTCACTCTTTCCCTCACCAACCCAGCCACTGAAGTCCATTAATTACCACTCTTTTCAATAATGCCCTGGGGCAAAATTCCTCTACAAAGTAATCCAATAAAATAGTGAGTCCTTCTATGAAATAGTTTCTGAGGTCAGTGTTTGATATTTGTTTTACTTCGGGAGGGCTCTTCCCACCTATTTTATTCTCCAGTTCTCTTCTGTAAACTAACCAGCCTACAGTCTAAGCTGTACCTGCATTAGATGCACAAATCTCCCAACTGCTTTTCACCACAACCTCTACTGTAATTGAGAGTGCCCTTAGGTTTAAACTTCTCCATGCTCTGTTCCACATGAAGTTACTTCCTTTGGGAATACATTAGGATATCTATTCTATTTTATATAGAATAGATATAAAATATATTCTATGTTCCTAAAATACATTCCTAATATATTGCCTTTCCTCCCAGGCAAACTCTCTAAGTCAGGGCTCTGGAGCTGGGTGTAACTGTGGCAAGCTTCTCTCTGAGTGACTCCTCAATTCTAGGAGCTGAGCACTGAGTGGAGGGTGTGGCCAGCAGCCTGCTGTCCTATTGGCTTGCCTCTCCTGCAGTGGAGCCATTCCCTCATGAGCAAGGTAAAGGGTTATTAGGGCCCCAGTAGTCTTAGCATACCACACCCAAGGCAGACTCTCCATTCCACAAGTGGGAGTTGGGCAGAAGAACGGTCCTCTCACTTCTCAACTGCACTTGTCTCGGACATAGTCTCAGCAACAGGTAGCTGGGGGCAGGATGAGGGATTCTGAATTCCTGCCCTTCCTAGAAATAAAGCGCTCTGATATGGAGCTGTGGGGAGAGGGAGGCCTGTGCTCTGGGCTGTAGCAATCTAGAGTGGAGTCTATGCCTTACTGACCTCACTGAGCTGGCATGCAGGAGAGAGGGAGGGTATAGTCTTGGTTCAAATACCACAGACTCTTGCTTTTCTTGCCAATTTTCAGAGATTTTCTTGAACAGATGTCTCATTATTGCTGTTTGTCCTTAAGAGGCTTTTCAGAGGCTTTAATTTTTTAAAAATCAGTTGCATTGGAGAGTGGATCCCATAGTGATTATCTCACAATGAAGAAATGACAGATTAATTTGTCTCTATTAATTTTGTAGACTTCCAATCTTTCCTTATTGGGCAGGTGTTACTAGTATTATAAGAAAAGTAGTGTGTTAATTTTTATTTTTTTAAATAAAAAAGAATATGACTCACTGTACTTTTTCTTCACTTGGATTTTGGAAGTCTGTACCTGCTCCAACAACCAGTAGCCCCACTGAAAGATAGCTGGGTATTGACACCAATGAGGCAGTGTTGCAGTTAAAATATTCTCTTGTACTTGAGAATTCACCCGAGAAAGTATTGACCAATCCCTACTTACATTGCATGTATATGGAGGTTTCCTTTTGGACCAAGACTTAACTCATAAAGTAGACCTCTTTTACATGAATACTGATATTTTTTTCCAACAATGAAAATGGCAGATCACTTGGTTATTCCTCTTCTCCCTTGACAGGAATTTCTATATTCTAGGGAGATCTATAGGACATCTCAATAAACCCTACTTAGGTCTATAGCTTCCTGCATGAGGTGTGACACACTTTTCCAACTACTGCTTCATACAAAAGACAAGGAGTTTCAACTTTTTCACCCTTACTTAGGAATTGGCAAGCACAGAATATTAGGAAGTTGTGCACTGGAAGCACAGGGACCATGCCAGGCTTTCAGCAGAGTATCCACATGAAGTTACCAAGGGGGTGACAAATAATTGTAGCTATGTGGCCAGTTTTTCAGGAAGTGAGTTGGAAAGTTCATGAGTATATAATGATGAAAAACTAAGCTACAATGTTTCTTGCCTAATTTGTGAGACTTATATTTCTTAGTCAAAGAGTAAAGATCCCATTCCATAATTCTATGTTAAGTGCAAATGGTACTATCAATGTACTGGCTAATTGAATTTCACTGAGCATAATTACTCCCAAAATGGTTTCAACAAATAATGTTCTTGTCTTGCCTCTAAGGAGTACTTGAAAAAGAATCCACAAAGGACTGTTTTTATTAGTTAACATTGTTTAGTCATATTGGGGAATTATTTTTCTTTAGGATAATTAAAATATTTTATCTTTATTTTTGTTGAAATCAGTTTCAGAAAATTATTTTCTCCTTTTTGTAATTACAGCTCACTTTTGAACAACACAAGTTTGAATTGCATGGGTCCTCTTATGGGTTGATTTTTAAAAATAAATATATTTGAAATTTTTTGGAGATACATGACAGTTTGCAAAAAAACCCACAGATGAATCATGTAGCCTAGAAATATTGAAAACTTTGTTAAAGTTAGGTATGTCATGAACTCATAAAACATATGTAGATACTAGTATGTTTTTATAATTTACTACCATAAAATATACACAAATCTGTTATAAAAAATTAAAACTTATGAAAAGTTATGCACTTACAGACCATACATAATGCCATTCACAGTGGAGAGACATGGAAACAAACATAAAGATACAGTATTGAGTCACAACTGCATTGAATAACTATAATACATAGGACATTACTGTAATAACTTCATAGCCACCTTCTGTTGCTGCTGTGGTGAGTCCGAGTGTTGCAGGTATGTGCGTAAAATGCCTCCTGATGCTAATCATCATAAATTGTGTATTGCAGTAAAAAGTGATCTCTTATGGTTCTCGTATATTTTTCATGTTTAGCGTTATGTTGTAAACCTTGAATAACATCATGGGATCTATACAAAGTGCCACTAGTGATGCTGAAGTGCTCCCAAGGAGCAGAGAAAAGTCCTGGCATTACAGGAAAAAGTTGAATTATTTGATATATACCATAGAGTGAGGTCTGCAGCTGCAGTTCTTCATGATTTTAGACACATGGTTTGTCTTGTAAACCAGCTCATGTAAACTTACAGTATCGATAAACACAGTACAGTACTGTAAATTTATTTTATTTATTATTTTCTTAATATTTCCTTTTTGCTAGCTCATTTTATTATAAGAATATAGTATATAATAAATATAACATACAAATATGTATGACTAAACTGTTTATGTTATTGGTAAAACCTCTGGTCAACAGTAGGCTATTGGTAGTCTTTAGGGAGTCAAAAGTTATATGAAGATTTTTGACTGTGTTGGGCATTGGTGTCCCTAACCCCCGCATTAAGTTGTCGACAAAAAGAGTCAAACTCTGTAAAATATTTGAAGAGATTTATTTTGAGCCAAATATGAGTGACCAGTGGCCTCTGGCACAGTTCTAGAAGATCCTGAGAACATGTGCCCAAGGTGGTTGGGCTACAGCTTGGTTTTATAAATTTTAGGGAGACATAAGACATCAATCAATACATGTAAGATGTACATTGGTTTGGTCCAGAAAGGAGACAACTTGAAGTAGGGGCTTCCAGGACACAGGTGGATTCAAAGATTTTCTGGTTGGCTATTGTTTGAGAATTTATCTAAAGATGTGGATTCAGTAGAAGGAAGTGTCTAGGTTAAGATAAGAGGTTGTGAAGACTAAGGTTGTTATTCATCATGCAGATGAAGCCTCCAAGTAGTAGACTTCAGACAGACTAGATTGTAAATGTTTCTTATCAAACTTAAAAAGGTGCCAGATGGGCCAGGCGTGGTGGCTTACGCCTGTAATCCCAACACTTTGGGAGGCCGAGGCAGTGGATCACCTGAGGTCAGGAGTTCAAGACCAGCCTGGCCAACAAGGTGAAACCCCATCTCTACTAAAATTAAAAAATTAGCCGGGCATGGTGTTGAGCGCCTGTAATTCCAGCTACTAGGGAGGCTGAGGCAGGAGAATCGTTTAGAACACAGGAGGCAGCAGAGGTTGCAGTGAGCCGAGATTGAGCCACTGCACTCCAGCCTGGGAGACAGGGTGAGACTCTGTCTCAAAAAAAAAAAAAAAAAGAAAGTGCCAGATGCTTAGATAATTCTCTCCTGGATCAAGGGAAAGACCTGGAAAGGAAAGAAGATTTTCTACAGAATGTAGATTTTCCCCACAAGAGACAGCTTTGCAGGGCCATTTCAAAATATGTCAAATAAATATATTTTGTGATAAAATACTTTGATTTCTTTCAGGGCATGCTATCTGTCACGTTGGTATCTTATTGCTACAAAGAGTCTGGTCAGTCTTAAGGTCTTTGTTCTAGTGTTAATGAGGGTCAAATGTGCCTCGATTCTAGAGGGAGGAAGGTATAATGATGCAAGTCTAACCTCCCCTTCCCATTGTGACCTGAACTAGTGTTTCAAGTTTACTTTAAAATGTCCTTGGCCAAGCAGAAGGGCCCATTTAGTTGGTTGAAGGGCTTAAATTTTATTTTTGGTTTACAGGGTGAACTGTATTTTCAGTTACTGAAATGACTAATGACAGTGAAATAAAAATGAAATGTTTTTTAGTATTTATCATGGTCCAGGAATGAGTTAAGTATTAACCTGAGAGATTATGCAATTCAACCCTTTAATTTTAGTGATGAAGAAACAGACACTCAAAAGAGAAAATTACTTGACCAAGGTGTGGGTTGGGTGCCAGAATTCCGACCTCATGACCATGAATACCGTGTTTTTATTCCCATTCTACTATGTAACTATATTCACTAACTGAGCCCCAAGGAGCTCTGATAAAGTAAAATATGACTTTTTATGAGAGGGGTATTGGAATTTTACTTTAGATACCCTGCTGATCTCAAGTAAACTAATAATTTTAATTCCTGGGCTTTGAGTTTAGGCAGAACGGGATTTTAATCCTCATAATTATCTCTTAAATCACTACAATTTCTTAAAATCACTCTTTAAAATCACGAATTCTTAGTGATCTCTTAAAATTGCTAATTCTTAGTAACTTACTCATGTATTTATTAATTTTACAAATATCTATTGAGTGCTGGGAACTGAACATTCAGCAGTTAACAAAAATAATGATTAATTGAGATAATACACCCGGAAGTACTACTTTGCTAGAACAAAATAATCAGTACATAATAATGTGACTTTCCCTCAAATTGTCCTATGACAATCAGCAGGTGGGATCATGGGCTTCTTCACCATTTCCATCTCGTTCACCACAGGTGTTCATGCATCACTAGCAGGGAGAATCCAGCGTCATAGTCATGCCCTTCTCTTTTAAAACTCACCAGGGACTTCCCACAGAGGCATGAAAAATATCAGGTAACCTCTTCTCCCCCACCAACACTAAATACTAAGAGTCTCAGTCTTTACTCTGCTTCACAACTACAAAATATGGTATCTTGTCTCTCCACATGGAGTATCTTATTTCTTTCCGTGAAACTACATCGTAGCCATTCTTCTCACCACTTATGAGTAATCCTGCTCCTTCCCTGCCTCCTCCCCAAGACGTGAGATCAGATCAGACCTTCTTAGCAGACATATCTGCTGGAGACAAGTGATGCTGCCTCATTCTCTATTCCTATTGGTTGAAGAAACATGCCTGTGACAGGTTGGGGATTTCCAGGAATGGTTTTCTTTCTTGAAATGCCTAGTGCAAGAAGCTGGAATGCCTTCCCCAAAACGAAGTAACCTGAACTGAGACTGATGAGGCAGATACTAGGTTTGAGAACTGTCTGTGGGTACTGCCTCTGAAAAGAGAGATGTATTCCTTCTAAAACGACTCATCTTTCTCTCTTTATCAAGTGATATTTCCTAGCATGATTATAAGAATATTAGTGCTCAGTAAATCCAACCTCTTCATTCTAACCATTACTTCCTAGTCTTGTAACTACACTGGGATTTCCAAAATAATTTCCTGGTTGATTTCCCTTCCATCTGTAGCTATACAAGTCTTGTTTTTGTTGGGTGGCTTCACTCTGTGCATCCCCTTCCATTCCTGAAGGAAGAATCTTCACTCCCATCAGACAGTACTCCTCTCCCGGCCTGCATCTTTCATCCTTCGTTTCCCTTACATATCGTTTCATTATATTTTCTCTACCCCTTCTACTGTCTTAATTAACCAAACTTGCCCTTTTTAATGAGTGTTACTATCTCATGCACATAGAGAGCTCCAATCTTTAATTTTTAAGGTTCATGTAGGTGTGTAAAACATTTTATTATTATTATTATTTTTGAGACGAAGTCTCGCTGTCACCCAGGCTGGAGTGCAGTGGCGAGATCTCGGCCCGCTGCAACCTCCGCCTCCCGGGCTCAAGCAAATCTCCTGCCTTAGCCTCCCAAGTAGCTGGGACTACAGGTGTGTGCCACCACACCCAGCTAATTTTTGTATTTTTAGTAGAGACTGGGTTTCGCCATGTTGGCCAGGCTGGTCACAAACTCCTGACCTCAGGTGATCTACCTGTCTCTGCCTCCCAAAGTGCCGAGATTACAGTCGTGAGCTACTGCGCCTGGTCAGTGTGTAAACCATTTTAACAATTTGGCTCATGTTTGAAAACCCACAAATTTGTGCTCTTATTGTATTTTATAAACCAATCGATTGCAGCGCTTGTTGCAGTGTATTATAGCAAGTTTATGTTGGCTTTGAACTCCTAGGAAACAAGATCTGCAGATCCTATTTATCCTAATAATGCATAATCTTGAAGAATGATTTGCACAAATGCAGCAGTATGAACTTTTTAATGTTCCCCCAAAGGAATAAATGTTATCTTTTTCAAGTCAGGGTATAATTCCCATGTTTCTACCATCACCTCCAAAAGGGGTACAAAAGATTATTTTCAGAGTTGTTATAAAGATTAAATGAGATAATTGAAAAATGGCTAACCAGACCCTGGAACCATTGATTCTCTTTTCCATCATTGTCCCTGCATGTTCTTATAACCAGCAGGTGGGGAGATGACCCTTAATCAATCTGTTTCTTCTTTCCTTTCAATTTTGTCCCTACCACAGATTTTAGTTTTCTACCAGTGATGAGATCCTAGCATTAAAGCAATTTTCTTTTCATTTAGTCCTGGGCAGGGACTTTCCACCTATGTCTGAAAAAGAACAAGTATCCTGATTCACGCTCTACATTCATTAAGCATGCTGGATCTTACTTGAAAAGGGGAGAGTTCTTGTCAATCCACACAGCTATCACCTGTTTCTTTCTACAAATTTCAGGTATTATATCTTTCTCGCACCACATAACTAATAATTTGGCCCTACTCCACGTTTTCACAGGGTCTCAAAACCAGACTAATGCTGGGACTATTGCAGTAGTGTTATTTGCTGGAGACAAATGATGTTACTTCACTCAGTGGTTGCATAGGAAGAAAACTGATAAGTAATGGAGATTTTTATAAAGACCCTTTGTCCAGAAAACTGACCTGCTTCATCTTAAAGCACAGAGTCTGGGAACCAGGATAGATAACCAACCTGGGGGTTTGAGAACTCAGTCTTTGGATGCTATCTCTGAAAGAAGAAAAGAGGTCTAAAAAAATTCCACATTTTCTCTTTCTACCCATTAGATAGTAATACTTTGCACAAGTTTGGAAGGACACAAGGCACTCAGTAAAACCAGTACCCTAGTCTCACTGTCACCTCCCCAGCCTTGATGCTCCTCCTCTACCTATATGACACTTGCCTTACCAACAGATGATTTTGCTGTTTTACATTTGTACACTTCAGTTCATCACCTTCCTAAGAAGTGACTGCTCAGCTTCTAAGGCCTCTCATAAAAACAGGTCCTCTCTGTGCATATTCTCTTATCCTATACTATTCTTTAATCTAGATGTTCACTCCAGTCAATCTGGGCTTTTCCCTAAATCAACCCACTCCCTGTCCCACCCCCGCTGCCAGTACTGCTCTCACTCATGCAGTTCATGATGGTTCCTTTCCCACTGCTGTTCCTCGGAATCATTTCCTCCTCTTCTCTGCTTCAAGTCTTACTTCTGCAAATGAACTATATTTTCAAGTTTTCTCCAAATACTCCAGTCTGTATGAATATATCCTTTATCTGCTATTCTTGAATTTTGTTACTTTTAAATTATACCCACTCTTTCTTTCCTTCCTTCTTTCTTTTTTCTTTCTTTCTTTCTTTTTCTTTCTTTCTCTCTCTCTCTCTCTCTCTCTTTCTTTTTTTTTATTTTTATTTTTCAAAGATAGCCTCACTCTGTTGCCCAGGCTGGAGTGCAATGGCACGATCTCAGTTCACAACAACCTCTGCCTCTTAGATTCAAGCGATTCTTATGCCTCAGCCTCCCAAGTAGCTGGGATTTCAGGCGTGTGCCACCACGCCTGGCTAATTTTTTGTATTTTTAGTAGAAATGGGATTTCACCATGTTGCCCAGGGTGGTCTTGAACTCCTGAGCTCAGGCAATCCGCCTGCCTTGGCCTCCTAAAGTGCTACGATTATAGGTGTGAGCCACCACCCCCAACCCCCATTTGTATTTTCATTCCAATTTATAAATGTTTATATTTATACTTAATACATTGTTTATTAATTCAACAACTATTAATAACTATTTTGAACCAGGCATTTTTCTAGGAACTGAGGAGAGAATAGTGCAGAAAGTTCCTGGTGTATGGAGTGTATGCTGTATATGTGTCTTTTTTTCCTGGTATATATTGATCTTCATGAGATCTTCACCCTGGAACCTTAGCTCCTACCGCACTCTTTGAAACATGGGAGACGTTCAATAAGCATTTGCTCTTTGAATATCATCAGTTATACTCTGTGCTTCTTATGGAAGTATGTGCATGTTTTAGTTAATCGCCTTCCTAAAGAAGACAATGGGTGTTTGTCACTCTGTGAAGCCCTCTACCAACTTATTCTAAAGTCAGAAAGGAGGTGAAACTTGCCTTAACATATAGAAAGGAACAGTTTAGTGACCAAAAAGTTTGACAAGAACTGGAACTATATACAAGAAATACCAACTGAATCACAGGACTATTCCTGGAGCCCCCGCTTCCAGTGTCCTTCACTCCGTCCTCTCCTTCAACTTCAATTTAACTACAACAAACATTCATTAACATGTGTGCCGATGTTTCCGATTTTCCTGCCCTTTTCCCTTCTGTGACTTCCAAAGTACCTAAGGGTGCATTCTGCTGTTGTTCTTATTTCTCTTTTCCTAACCACAAACACTGAAGCCCCTGGTGAGAGGCTCCTGGCACGAGTGTGATAGGCTCATGGTAGGTCGTCATGAGAAGCTTTCCAGGCACATCCCATGGCACCTGCTAGTTATGCCCAGTAATTTCTTACTGTCCCTGTTTTAGATACATGATATTTGTGACCACTGATGAACCTTTTTCTTATGATTCTGAGTTTTGGATTCTATTTTAAAAATATTTTTCTATTTCAAGATCAGGAAGATATTCTCTAATATCATCTTCTAGAAGTTTTATTGTATTGATTTTTATGGATAGATATGTTTTCTACTGGAATTAATTTTGTGTATAAAGTGAGATAGGTGTCAAATTTCTTTCTTTCTTTTTTTTTTCAGTAAGGATATACAACTGATCCAGCAGCATTTATTGACAGGCTGATTCTTTCCGGGTCACTAAATTGACAATTATTAGATCACAAAATAGGCACAAAAGAGAACATACTGTATAGTTTAATTTGTATAATGTTACTAAGCATGTTTAGGAATAAATATTAGATTTTGAAGGTGTATTGAAAAGCAATGAAGGGATTGCCATGGAAGTCTGATGGTGAGTTGTCTTGATGGGAAGGGAGAGCAATGTAGACAGGAGGAAGCACGGGAGAGCTTCTGGTGCTGGCCTCATGCTGTTTCTTGATTTGGGTGGTGGGTTCATGGATGTTGGCACTGTAATGATTGATTAAGTTGTACATTTATGCTTTACATGTCTTACTATATGTGTGTTCTATGTCACTATACAATGTTAAAAATGTAACACATTTGGTTTCCTAATCATATCCCAGTAATAAATAAATATTTATTTATTTATTTGTATTTATTTGAGACAGAGTCTTGCTGTGTTGCCCAGGCTGGAGTGCAGTGGTGCAATCTCAGCTCGCTGCAACCTCCACCTCCCGGGTTCAAGGGATTCTGCTGCCTCAGCCTCCTGAGTAGCTGGGACTACAGGTGCCCGCCACTATGCCTAGCTAATTTTTGTATTTTTAGTAGAGACGGGGTTTCACCATATTGGGCAGGCTGGTCTCGAACTCCTGACCTTGTGATCTGCCTGCTTCAGCCTTCCAAAGTGTTGGGATTACAGGTGTGAACCACCACACCCAGTCATTATCAATATTTATTAAATACTATAAGTGATGGACATTATTGAATGTGTTGGGGATATAGCAGTTAAGTGAAAACATAGTGTGATACATACATCCACTGCAGGGTTATGATGAGAATCAAATGATACAAAGTGTCTGGAAGTAGAAAATTCAGTGCCTGGTGTAAAATAAACAATAACTCATCATTTTATTTTCCCTTCATTTGTCTGTGCATAAACCTATGGCAATCAGAGTTGGCATAATAGATCTCTCTGACAGTCTCCATCTCTTGTATAACAAGAATAGCAGGCAGATAGCAGCAGGATAGCTTTTTATTTGTGCTTTTAATACTACCCAGGGACAGGAATGGAAAACCAGGCATTATGTCCCTATCACTCTAAATGCCCAGCTCCTCCAATCCTCACTGCACATTTTGCTTTACTCTGCAAATATTCTTTATTTGCTAACTACTTATGTCCTAATTTATTCCACAAAGGAAGTTATCAGCCTTTCTTATCAACACCTAATTTAGTCATCCTGTTCTCCTGCAGCTTCTCTCCAAGACTTTATATAAGACCTTCTGGTCAGATGTATCTGCCGGAGATAAGTGATGTTGCTTCAGTCTTTATCCCTATTGGTTATAGAAAAAAACAGCAACAACTGTTTGTGAAGGGATGGGGATTTCCAGTAAATTTCTCTCTTTTTTCTACAAAATGTCTCAACCAGAAAGAAAGAACCAGCACACAGATGGATAGGAAGATTGATCCCTTTGGGTGTTACCTACAAAAGGAAAGAAAATGTATTCCTTCTAAAAGACCTTCCGTTCCTCCCTTATTCATCAAATACCAATTCTAATGCACATCTGGAAATGCAAAAGGAGCATGGTATTCCCATCATCCATTTCTGTTGTCACCACACTGATCTCTGTGTCCAATCCTTCATAACTAACCTTGGATTGTAAAAGTTTTACTGCTTGATATTTTTTCCTGCGTCCATCCACATATTTCTAAAAGATGTAACTTCTTTGCCAAATTTTCAATGCCTTTCTTAGAACTTCAGCTCTGCACATCCACTCTGATCTCCCAGCATTATTTAAGGGAGCCTTTCAATTCTAGTCTAACAGACTCCCCTCTATCTCTATTTCCGTTTCCCGACTCCTCCTGCTTCTTGCACACATGTTATTCATGATAGTTCCTGTTCCCCAGCGAGTCTCTAGCCATCCTGAAACGTAACCCTTTCTCTGTGTTCTGAGTTTCACTTCCTCTGGAACTTACATCTATACAAATGCTTCCTTCTTGTTGTAAATATAAGTTTATACTTAATTTTAACCATTTTTGTTTTAAAATTTTTGTCTTAAAAATTAATAACACCAAATTGTGTTTGATTATTTTTTATAGATATGTCTGTTGTAGATCTTGTGACATTTTTATATGAATTTTATATGTCTGTCATTACAATGCGCTCTTTTGTCTGTGTAGGATCTACTTAAAAGTAGGATCTAATTCATGTGAATCTTTGTATCCCCAGCATTAGAAGAATCTTTTGCACAAAGGAAGCACTGAACACACTTTTTGTGATTGAATATCCCCACCTAGATTGCATGTGTATGTGCACATGCATATGGTGGATCCTCAGTTAAAATTTACCGAATGTTAAGTGCGGCAAAAGATATGAGATAGATATTAAGAATATTTTTCTGACTGTGAGGATTTATATATGGAAATATGTGAAGGAGGGACAATCCCTTCTACAAAATTGTTTTCACCAGATTACCGCTGACTGTTACCACCCTGTGTGGCTCCCACAACAGCTTCTCCTATGAGAAGCAGATAACTACATTTTTGTAGAAAACAAGAGAGGATGAACTGACTAGTGAGCAAGGGGTTAAACAGCCCCCAAATCATGTTCTCAATGATGCCCATCAGTCCTCACTTCATAATTTAATTACCAGTTACAAAAGACCTTCTGGATGCTGGATGTTTGGGTCTTCTGGAACTCTCTCCTGCTCTTCTGGTATATCCACAAACAGTCTTGTCAAAACTGGATCCTGATATTTCATACAATTACTTGCTTCGGGACCTCTCTTTTCCTCATTTCCTCACCAAATACTGGAGTCCATTGAGTGAGAAGGGGCTAGCCTCAGCCATATGTTTAATTTGGAGGCCTAGTCAAGAGCTTTACTAGAGCATCCTGTGGGAATCAGTGGCCTTGCCCCAATATTTTCTCATTTTCACACTATTCACTGTTCCCATTCAATGCGGCTGCTGAGCTATTACTTTGCTTTCTGTCTAGACACTGGTAACCCTGGCTGGAGGGCCATCTTGGCTTATTCTCCCTATCTTATTGTCCTTCTGTGACTCACATGTGCTACTGTCCATGAACCATGCTCTTTGTCACAAAACACAATTCTCAGCTTCCCCCCAGCTCCCACTCCTTCTCCCCAACACTTGCACTTACAGAAATGTTTCCTTCTCATTTCCCTTTTCTTTATCTACCATCTTTTATCTGCCCTAATGTCTACAAAAGTATCCTTAGTTCTCTTGAAGTAAAAATGGACACTTTTAAAATTATTTATGTAAGTATGGATGTATATATCTATAAATTTACGTGTACATATTTATTTATTCATGGATATTGGTGAATAAATGTCAGGGTAGCCCTACTTTTTACAACCACTTCTCTGGTCACAATACAGATGCACTCTCTGCATTTGGGTGGGAGGCAGTGAAAGAAGTGTCGATTGGCATGATTGTTGAATAGACACATGCACAGGAAATGCCTGGTGTTTAGTTCCCAGCCTCCATTTTTGCTTTCAGTACATATCTCACCTCAACTATACCTCTAGAAGGTATTTGAAGATTTATCCTGATCCTCCCATAAATATAAGAACCTTGTTCTATCCTATGATTTTTTAAATTATTGTATTTTTTTGGCAAATTATAATTGCATATAATTATAGGGTACAAAGTAATGTTATGATATATATACACAATGTGGAGTAGTTGACTCAAGCTAATTAATATATCCATCACCTTAAAAACTTTTCATTTATTCCTTCTGTCTGTCTGCTACTTTATACTATTTGACTGATGTCTTCCTATTCCTCCCAATCTGCAGCCTCTGATAATCACTATTCTACTGTCTGCTTCTATGAATTTGATTGTTTTTGATTCCACATATAAATGAGAATATGCAGTATTTGTCTTATTTCACTTAGAAACGTCTAGCTTATTTCACTTAGCATACTGTCCTCTAGGTTCATTCATGTTGTTACACATGGCAGAACAGCGTTTTTTTTTGTTTTTTTTTGTTTTTGAGATGGAGTCTCACACTGTCGCCTGGGCTGGAGTGCAGTGGCGCTATCTTGGCTCACTGCAACCTCCGCCTCCTGGGTTCACACCATTCTCCTGCCTCAGGCTCCTGAGTAGCTGGGACTACAGGCGCCCACCACCACGCCCGGCTAATTTTTTGTATTTTTAGTAGAGACAGGGTTTCACCGTATTAGCCAGGATGGTCTCAATCTCCTGACCTCGTGATCCGCCCGCTTCGGCCTCCCAAAGTGCTGGGATCACAGGCGTGAGCCACCACGCCCGACCCAGAGCAGCCTTTTTTAAAAAGGCTATATGTTATTCTGTTATACAGAATATATTCTGTATATATACCACATTAAAAAATTTGTCAGTTGATGGACGCTTACCATCTTGGCTATTATAAGTAACATTACAATGAACATGAGAGTGCAGATATCTCTTTAACATACTGATTTTAAGTCCTTAGTCCATACACCTAGAAGTGGGATTGCTGAGTCATATAGTAGTTCTACTTTTAATTTTTTCAAGAACTTCCATACAGTTTTTTATAATGGCTATACCAATTTACATTCCCACCAACAGTGTACAAGTGTTTCCTTTTTTTTTTTTTCAGATGGCGTCTCACTCTGTCACCCAGGCTGGAGTGCAATGGTGAGATCTTGGCTCACTGCAACTTCTGCCTCACAGGTTCAAGCTATTCTCCTGCCTCAGACTCCCAAATAACTGGGACTACAGGCGCACACTGCCATGCCCAGCTAATTTTTTTTTCTTTTTTTTTCTATTTTTTAGTAGAGACAGGGTTTCACCATGTTGCCCAGGCTGGTCTTGAACTCCTGAGCTCAGGCAATCTGCCCACCTCAGCCTCCCAAAGTGCTAGGATTACAGGCGTGAGCCACCACACCTGGCCAAGTGTTCCCTTTTCTCCACATCCTCACCAACACTTTTCTTTTACCTTTTCAATAAGAACCATTCTTTCCGGTGTGAGGTGATATCTCATTGTGGCTTTAATTTGCATTTCCCTAATGATTAGTGATGTTAAGCTTTTTTTTTTTTTTTTTGAGACAGAGTCTTGCTCTGTTGCCCAGGCTGGAGTACAATGGTGCGATCTCAGCTCACTGCAACCTCCGCTTCCCGGGCCCAGGTAATTCTCCTGCCTCAGCCTCCCAAGTAGCTAGGACTACATGTGTGTGCCACCATGCCCAGCTAATTTTTGCATTTTTTGTAGAGACAGGGTTTCACTGTGTTAGCCAGGATAGTCTGAATCTCTTGACCTCGTGATCCACCCGTCTCAGCCTCCGAAAGTGCTGGGATTACAGGCGTGAGCCACTGCACCCACCAGTGTTAAGCATTTTTTCATATGCCTGTTGGCCACTTCAATGTCTTCTTTTGAGAAATGTTTATTCATATTCTTTGCTTATTTTTAAATCTTATTTTTTTATTTTATTTTTTTTGCTATTGAGAGTTTCTAATGTATTTTGGATGTTAACCCTTCATCAGATGTATTGCTTGAAAATATTTTCTCCCAGCTGATAGGTTGTCTCTTCATTCTGTTGTTTTCTTTGTTGTGCAGAAGCTTTTTAATGTGATGTAATCCCACTTGTCTAATTTTAAATTTTGTTGCCTAAGATTTTGGGGTCAAATAAAATAAAAATCATTGTCCAGACCAACGTTGTATAGGTTCTCTCTGTTTTCTTCTAGTATTTTACAGTTTCAGGTCTTATATTTAAGTCTCCAATCCATTTTTAGTTGATTTTTGTATATGGTGTGAGATAAAGATCCAATTTTATTCTTCTGCATGTGAATATCCAGTTTTCTCAGCACTGTTAATTGAAGAGATTGTCCTTTTCCCATTGTGTGTTCTTGGTAACTTTATTGAAAATAACTTGGTCATAAATAAGTAGATTCATTTCTGGGCTCTCTATACTGTTTCATCAGTAGATGTGTCTACTGTTATGCCAGTACCATGCTGGGTTTTGTTGTTGTTGTTGTTATTGTTTTTAGATGGAGTCATGCTCTGTTTCCCAGGCTGGAGTGCAGTGGTGTGATCTTGGCTCACTGCAACCTCCGCCTCCTGGGTTCAAGCAATTCTCTGCCTCATCCTCCTGAGTAGCTGGAATTACAGGTGGCTGCCACCATGCCCAGCTAATTTTTGTATTTTTAGTAGTGATGGGGTTTCACCATCTTGGCCAGGCTGGTCTTGAAGTCCTGACCTTGTGATCCACCTGCCTCAGCCTCCCAAAGTGCTGGGATTACAAGCATGAGCCACTGTGCCCAGCCATGCTGTTTTAAGTACTATAGCTTTGTAATATAGTTTGAAGTCAAGTGGTGTAATGTCTCCAGTTTTGCTCTTTTTGCTCAAGATTGTCTTAGCTATTCAGGCTTTTTGTGTGGTTCCATATGAATTTTATATTGTTCATAGATATTGTAAATGGGATTGTTTTCTTGATTTGTTTTTTGAATAGTTCATTGTTAGTGTATAGAAATACTACTGATTTTTGTGTGTTGATTTTATATGCTGCAACTTTACTGTATTCATTTATTAGTTCTAATAGCGTTTTGGTGAATTTTTTTAGCATGTTTTAGATATAATACACATTCTTCTCAAGCACACATTGAACTTTCTCCAGGACAGATGAGATGTTAGGCCACAAAAAAACTCTAAACAAATTTTGAAGTGCACAACATTATTTTGTTAACTATAGGCACTATGTTAGATAGCAGATCTCTAGAACTTATTCATCCAGCATAACTAACACTTTATACCCTTTTAGTGACAACGTTCCATTTCCCCCAGCCCCCAACTCTTGTTAACTACTATTGTATTCTCTGCTTCTATGAGCTTGAGTATTTTAGTTACCTCATATAAGAGGAATTCTGCAATATTTGTCTTCCTGTAACTGGCTTATTTCACTCAGCATAAGTGAAACTAAAAAGCTTTTGCATAGCAAAGAAAACAATAAACAGAATGAAAAGATAACCTGCAGAATGGAAGAAAATATTTGCAAACCATATATTTGATAAGGGGCTAATTTCAAAAATGTATAAGGAACTCATACAACTCAAGAGCAAAACAACCAACCAAACAAACAACCTGATTAAAAAATGGGCAAAGGACTTGAACAGATATGTCTTGGAAAAAGATGTTATAGACTAAATGTTTGTGTTCCCTCCTAATCATATGTTAAATCCTAAGCCCCAATATTATAGGATTAGAAGGTGGGCCCTTTGGAAGGAATTAGGTCTAGAGTCTATCTAGATAAACACTCCAATTAATTGCCCATATGGGAACACAAATTGGTTTCTGATGGTGTAAAGTTATTAAGCAAAAATAATAACAATAAATGGATAAACAGGATCAATTTCTTCTTACCATGGAGGATATGTATCCTCAACAGAAGACTGTGCCATTTAAAGGCCATATTAGTATTCATCAGAGTTGACAGGACCCTTTCCTGTAAGATTTCAGCAATGTCATCCATCGAGGAACTTTGGGTGGAGCCAGTCTTTGCACCATGGCACTATCTAGGTCATGGCTGTAAGTCTACAAGTGAAAAAACCATGGTCAATATTAATGATATTGCAATTAGTATCAGCAATACCACTGAAGGAAACGTTGACAGTTAAAATAATTTAGGAGGCTGGGCACAGTGGCTCACGCCTGTAATCCCAGCACTTTGGGAGGCCAAGGTCAAGAGATAGAGACCATCCTAGCCAACATGGTGAAACCCCATCTCCACTAAAAATACAAAAATTAGCTGGGCATGGTCGTGTGCACCTGTAGTCCCAGCTACTCGGGAGGCTGAGGCAGGAGAATAGCTTGAACCCAGGAGGCAGAGGTTGCAGTTAGTCAGGATCACGGCACTGCACTCCAGCCTGGCAACAGAGCCAGACTCTGTCTCAAAAAAAAAAAAAGAAAAAAAGAAAAAAAAAGAATTTAGTGTTTAACTCCTGTTCTGGAGAGAAAATAAACCCATGTCTATGTATTTTGCCTCAGTGGCAGAACCAGTTGCTTTTAGAACTGATTCTTGTTATGCTTTTTTGTTTTTCATAGCTTTAGAACTTGTAATAGCAATAAAGATTCCTCATTTCTGGAAAAACTCAAAAATTTCTAATAATCCTTATATTATCTTCTGCTGTGGTTATTATAAAGTATTTTCCTCTGGTTAATAATATAGCTATGGCTTAGATTATTTTTTTACTAGCTGGTACCTTTTTTCTTATTCTAACAGTTGACTAGACACCTCTTTAAGGTCAAATCCAAAATTGTGAACTATGGACACTGACAGGGTTTTGTTTGCACCCAAATCATCTTTAGCATCTCTAGATGGATACTTAATAGTACCAAGTTTTACACCTTTATCTTGCTGGTGTAACCCCTTGAATGACCACATGACCAACACAGGGATGCTAGCAATAGTTAGTGTGGTTCTTATGCTTCATTTTTCTCAGAATTGCTGTATGATACTGAGAGTTGCTTTGTTTGACAGGCACACAGGGTAGGAAGAGATGTCATGACAAAAGGATTAGCTAATTCTTTTGCCACACATAAGTTGATTTTATTTAGGTAAAATGTTGTTAACATAAATAAGTACTAGTAAGTTTACTTTTTCAAGATAATAAATTGTCTGCAAGGATGAGCTATTAGAAAAATAACAGGTAAAAGATTTTATTATTTATTTTAAATAAAATAAGCAACAAACCAGGCACACACTTCACAGGACAGATTGCAAAGAGGTTGGTACAGCTCAACAGGTTCATCAATGTCTTCACTGTCCACACTGCAGTCACTGGGGAGTGGGCTAGTGGAGCACCAAAATGAAATTTTGAAAAATAACCTGGCCTATTTTGGACTGGATAGATAGGTGGATACTTACCACAGCACAATTAACATAAGAGCTAGAAAGATAAATCAAAAGAAAATTCTTTGTACTTACAATATTAGTAGAAAGGCCTATGGGAATTCTAGTTGTTTTCTCTATATGCAATGGCAAGCATTCTGTTATAAAACAGCTAAGTTGAGCCAAAGAATGACATTTGGAAGTTAAAGAAGTCCTGTCAACTGACCTAGATAGTGTCATGGTGTAATGATTGGCGCTACCAAAGTTCCTTAGTGGAGGACATTGCTGAGATCTTACTGGAAAGGGTCCTGTCAAGTGTGATGAATACTAATGAGGCCTCTAAATGGCACAGTTTTCTGTTCAGGATACACACCTTCCATGCTAAGAAGAAACTGGTTCTGTTTATCCATTTATTGTTATTATCATTTTTTCTTTAGATATAAGGATTAGTAATCTGCTTTTTACTTTAAATTCCAGATTAGTGGTGGTTGCTTTCTGAAAACTCCTGAGAACATTTTGTGACTACCTGGACAAGTGACAGACATTCTATGATAACCAGGGCTTGCTGATAGCCAAAAGAGCCTATTTTTCCAAAATGTGTTGCAAGCTTTCAGGCTTACTACAAGTGAGCCCCATTCTGTGACAATCAGTAGGACTCAAGACATGCTGTAATCCTACCAATGTCAACCTGCCTGTTGTTCAGCAAAAGTCTGTGCTTCTGATTTTACCTGTTTAGTCCTGAGAATGCTGGGATTTATTTCCTGTAAAACCAAGCCTATGGTTTCATTCATCAAGACCAGAGACCATGGAACTTCCGTACGGAAAACCACTTTCTTCCAGAAACCAATTTAATTGCCATTTCCTCAGGAAATAAGCTCTCGTATTTGACACCTCTCACACACAGCAGAGTTGAGAGGATTCTTCTCTTGTTTTCAGTGCAAAAGTTCAGCCTAGAGATCACCTGTACGATTGATGGTTTGGTGACAGTTGCTACATTGTTTAGCCTGAACTATGCTTATATTGAATATTGAAGGAAAGTGTGAGATATATAATTTAAAGAAGCATATCTGTTATAGTTTAAGTGTGTCGCCTTTAAAATTCAGGTAGGGCTCCTCACTGATGAATGGGATTAAGGCCCTTGTAAAAAACGCTTCACACAGTTTTTAGCCTCTTGTCCTTCCACCTTCTACCATGTGAGTACACAGCGTTCATCCCCTCTGTAGGATGCAAGGTGCCGTCTTGGAAGTGGAGACCATGCCCTTTGCCAGACATTGAACATGCTGGTGCCTTAATCTTGGACTTCTCAGCCTCCATGTGTTCTTTATAAATTACCTAGTCTAACGTATTTTATCACAGCACAAATGAACTAAGACAACATCTTTGTTACTCATAAGTGTATAAAACATACAGAATTTAGTTCATTGCCATTGGCCATTTTTAAAATATAAATTTGTATGATTTATAAATAGTGTGTCAAATTTATATAAACAAGTTTTGAAAGTTTCTCTTTAACTATATTTTAGTACAGTCTTGATGTAGAATTACTTATTTTTGCCTCCGCTTTTATCCTGTAATACTAAGGTGAACCTTAGCTTCCTTTCCTAGATTACCACACCGCAATTAGTTAATTAGTAAATTACATTTCCTATTATCAAATGAAATATGATATTCTCCTGGTTGCAACTGCACAATTGTCAATAGTACTGAATTATCACTGTAGTGTAGGAACACAGTTTATTCTCAAATCCAGGGACAATAGTGATTTCTACCCAACCTCTCCAAGAAATATTCAACTTTCCACATTAACAGAAATATATTTTTCCAAAGTAAATGAGACAATATTTTTATTCTATTCTGAAATGATCAAACTTGCACTACTTCGTGCTGAGAAATTGGAAATGATGATTGAGAGTAATAGAATGGAGTTAGGAATGTTGAGGCTGTTGTTGTAAACTTTAATAAGAAGGAGATTTTTGCAGGAGCTATGGGTGTCCTTATGTAACATAAATGCAAACTGTGTCATTTCCAGAGGAGAATAACCATGGTGATGAGGGGAATCTTTTGAAGGAACTAGCATTGCTACACAGTATCTACCCCAAAGTCTATAAAATGTTGCCATTCATTAAAAGAAGTAGTCTTACTGATTTGCACAGCCATGAATTAAAGGGATAAAAATAATTTTAGTATAAGGGACGTAATTCTCTTTAGAAATTGAATGTGAGGTAGTATAATACAACGGTAGAGCTTGAGGGGTTGGAATCACATATATAATTACTTGGTTCAGTAGAGTTGACAGAACAACTCTGCTTTAAAATAATTAATATTTCATGTGAAGAGTGTTCAATCCCTCATTCCTGGCTCCCATTATGATTTCGTCATTTGTTTGAGGCTATGGCCCTTTACTATTCCATTTCTCTTGTTTTATCATAAAGGGAGATATAAGACGACTTTGCTGGCCAGACGCACTGGCTCACGCCTGTAATCCCAGCATTTTGGGAGGCCGAGTTACAATTCTGAGAATTGCTACAATTCTGAGTACAAAGCAAAATGCTCAAAAATTGCTCAAGAAATTTTAGTCATTTTTATTGCAGCATGGTGAGTATCTCATCCCTAGAAACACTAAGGCACATAAGGAAGGAGTGCCTATCAGAACTGTGATACAGTGTGAATTAATGCAGAACTTTATCTGTATAGTTGTACTTTGAAGTCCATTCTGAATCTTAGATGCTACATTTATATAAATATAAAGCATAATAAGTATCTAAATGTAGAATTATATGTTTAAAATTATATGATTACATTAACTGATGTAATTCATAGATTTTCCCTAGGGTTCTGTTTCATGAACATTCTGTAACATATTAGTTAGCAAAGTCTTTTTTTTTTTTTTTTTTGTAACTGAGTCTCACTCTATCGACCAGACTGGAGTGCAGTGTCATGCTCCCAACTCACTGCAACCTCTGCCTCCTGGAATCAAGCAATTCTCGTGCCTCAGCCTCCTGAGTAGCTGGGATTACAGGCATGCACCACCACATCCAGCTGATTTTTGTATTTTTTCTTTTAGTAGAGATGAGGTTTCACCATGTGGGCCAGGCTGGTTTCAAACTCCTGACCTCAAGTGGTCTGCCCACCTCGGCCTCCCAAAGTGCTGGGATTACAGGCATGACCCACCGCGTCCTGCCAGCAAAGTCTTCTTATATATTCCCTTATGATAAAACAAGAGAAGTGTAACAGTAAAGGGCCATAGCCTCAATCAAATGAGGAAATCCTAATGGGAACCAGGAATGAGGGATTGAACACTCCTCACATAAAATATTAATTATTTTAAAACTATCAGGGGAAATTCAGCCAGATATCAGGCGAAATTCACCCCCGATATTTCACGTAGGTTCTTTTCTATATTCCCTAAGCGTCGACCAGTCTGAGAAATAAAGGGACAGAGTACAAAAGAGAGAAATTTTAAAGCTGGGTGTCCCCGGGAGACGTCACATGTTGGCAGGTTCCGTGATGCCCCACAAGCCACAAAACCAGCAAGTTTTTATTAGTGATTTTCAAGAGGGGAGGGAGTGTACAAATAGGGTGTGGGTCACAGAGATTGAGATCACATGCTTCACAAGCTAATAGAGTATCACAAGGCAAATGGAGACAGGGCGAGATCACAGGACCACAGGACCGGGGTGAAATTAAAATTGCTAATGAAGTTTCAGGCACGCATGGTCATTGATAACATCTTATCAGGAGACAGGGTTTGAGAGCAGACAACCGGTCTGACCAAAAATTTATTAGGTGGGAATTTCCTCGTCCTAATAAGCCTGGGAGCACTATGGGATACTGGGGCTTCTTTCATCTCTACAGCTCGACCATAGAAGACGGCGCCCCCTGAAGCGGTCATTTCAGAGGCCTACCCTCAGGGAAGTATTCTCTTTCTCAGGGATGTTCCCTGCTGAGAAAAAGAATTCAGCAATATTTCTCCCATTTGCTTTTGAAAGAAGAGAAATATGGCTCTGTTCCACGTGGCTCACCAGTGGTCAGAGTTTAAGGTTATCTTTCTTGTTCCCTGAACATTGCTGTTATCCTGTTCTTTTTTCAAGGTGCCCAGATTTCATATTGTTCAAACACACATGCTCTACAAACAATTTGTGCAGTTAACACAATCATCAAAAGGTCCTGAGGCGATGTGCATCCTCCTCAGATTACAAAGATGATGGGATTAAGAGATTAAAGTAAAGACAGGCATAGGAAATCACAAGGGTATTGATTGGGGAAGTGATAAGTGTCCATGAAATCTTCACGATTTATGTTCAGAGATTGCAGTAAAGACAGGTGTAAGAAATTACAAAAGTATTAATTTGGGGAACTAATAAATGTCCATGAAATCTTCACAATCTATGTTCTTCTGCCATGGCTTCAGGTGGTACCTCCATTCGGGGTCCCTGACTTCCCGCAACAAAAACAGAGTTGTTCTGTCAACAGCTGACTTTGAGTCCTTGATCAGTCTCTCACACCGCTGAATACTTGGATTGCACAGTTGACCTTATCACATTGTTAGGGTAAGTGCTGTACAAAGGCACCTTCAGACCCTCCATTGCACATAGGTGGCCCCTGCAAGCCCCTTGCCTGAGTGTGTTCTGGAGCTGCCACTAAACTTGAGGGCAGCATCAGGAGATACACTTGAAAAAACCCTTTTTACTCAGATTAAATTACTAACAAACTTTTCATTTCCTTTAACTTACTAAAAACATCTCTACCTGTAAATACGTACAGATTACACTCTCTAGTCAACAGCTGTCATTCTGTCATATCAACAGATACCCGTGGCTGCTACTCCTTGAGGCATCCACAGAATCACAGCATTTTCCAGTATTGAAAGGCCTGAAAGATCCCGGTGCCTTCATTTCAACTGTGAGACATGAAGTAATTTTCCCAAATCTACAACAGTAAGATATGGTGCAATAAGGACCAGATTAAAGGTCCCCTGATTTGCAACCATGTTCCCTCCATCTCCTTTACTCCTAAACACACTCACACGCTCACTCCTGCAAACAGTTGTCTTGTCAAGTGGGAAATGAATGCTCTTGCAAGGCTCAAACTTGTGAACACATCACTGACCAGCACAGAGCTGGCTCACAATAGGGACGCAATTAAAGTGTTTTACACGCAACTGGTTCAAACCTTTCAAGTACTAAATTAAAACAATCCTTTAAAGGAGGAAATTGTTTCAGAAGAGGACCTTCATACAGCATCTCTGACCAGCGACTGATGATGCTATTGTAATCAGATGCTGATTCGTTCTCCAACACTAGATTACCCAATCCACAAGCAAGGAAATCAGTAACTTCTTCCCTATAATTTGGAATGTGGGTGGAGAGGGGTCATAGTTCTCCCTGAGTGAGACTCACCTGCTCCTCTGGCCCCTGGTCCTGTCCTGTTCTCCAGCATGGTGTGTCTGAAGCTCCCTGGAGGCTCCTGCATGGCAGCTCTGACAGTGACACTGATGGTGCTGAGCTCCCCACTGGCTTTGGCTGGGGACACCCAACGTAAGTGCACATTGTGGGTGCTGAGCTACTATGGGGTGGGGAAAAAAGGGAGTTTTGTTAACATTGTGCCCAGGCCATGTCCCTTAAGAAAGTGTGACATTTTCTTCAGGGATTGCCCATCTTTATTGTATGGATCCCAAATTATTTCCACCACAAATGGAACGTGGCTACTTGCCCTCTTCATGAGACTGTGTAAGGGGCCTTTGTATAGGCCATTTTTTTTCTTTAAATCTCCACCAATAAAACCTTTGTATCACATGTCCTCAGGGTCTTTAGAGGATTTAGAAATAAGGATGCTAAAATAAATTCCTCATACAGCACTTCCCTTTATCATGTTGACTTATGTCAGACAAAACGAGGTTTTGTTTTGAAAATTTTGTGGGAGTCAAAGGAATTCAAAGGGTCTCTCCTAGACGATCCTGTGTTGTCCTCCACAGGACCTGTGGTGTTGGCCCCTCTTCCTTATATGTAAGGACAGTGGCCTCCCCATTGTCTCCTTTCTTTTTTTTCTGAAGTCTAATGTTTATAAAGCCTGTATCCCTGTAGCATATGTAGGTTCTCTGACAGAAGTTATGCTTAGTGCTCTTTCTTTCTTATGGGGAAAAGTCCCTGGATCTGAAATTGAGATCTTTAGTACTTGGAGTCACCCTACAGGTAAAGACCATTTATGAGGTATTCATTGGTGCCTAAGAACTTAAGGCATCCTCTGAAAAACTGGCCCAGGTTAGTTCTTATTATTAATCTTTTTTAACCTTTCTATACTTGTTTCTCCCACATGCTCTAACTAGACATGACAGAAGAGATTCAACTAACGTAGGATAAATTATATGAAATTCTATTTTTGTAAGTCAAAAATAGTCAAATACCAGAAAATTAATAATGTTCAAACTATATACTCTGTGTGGGGTTACTGAGATGACGTGGACATTGTTCACATCTCATAGGGCTGAAAGTCAATGAGCAAGTCCTGGAAACTCATTGTCTTACTGGGTTCTTGTCCTAAATTTCATAGGTTCACCCATCATGCCCTCAGCTTTCCTTAATTAGCCATGTCTGCTTACCTCTACCTCCAGTTTCTCTCTATTTTTCCCCAGCTATGTTGTCATCATTTCCAGAAATCTCTAAAACTTGCACAGATCCTTAGCACTATGAGATCCATTGAAAGACATAATTTTTTTCTTTTTGAGACAGGGCTTGCTTCTGTCACCCAGGCTGTAGTGCAGTAGTGTGATCTAGGCTCACTGCAGCCTCTGCTTCCCATGCTCAAGTGATCCTCCCTCCTCAGCCTCCAGAGTAGCGGAGACTACAGGCAGGCAAACATGTGCAGCTAATTTTCACAATTTTGGTAGAGATGAGATTTTGCCATGTTGCCCAGGCTGGTCTTAAACTCCTGGACTCAAGCAATTCTCCTGCCTTAGCCTCCCAACGTGCTAGTATTATAGATGTGAGCCATTGTGCCCAGGCAAAAAGAGATGAATCTCAATTAAAAATTTTCCTTTTTCTTAAATCATTGTTTCTCTATCTGTGAATTCTTCTTCCACCTAGAAGGAGGAGAAAGAAGAAGTTTGCCTGTATTTCTCACCAGGAGGAGAAGGGGTCTAGTATGACATCAAAATGAAAGAGTGCTGGAGCTTGAGCCCCTTCTTGCTTTCCGGGATCCCCACAGTGATCAGTTCCCATACCCTGTTTTATTCATGTAAAGCACACTTATTTTTCTCAGCAGCTACTCTTTACTGGGCTCCATTCTAAGTTCAAATCATTCTATTTGAGTAAGACAGAGAGGGTCACTACTGTCATGGAAGTTACACAACAGTGGAGGAGACAGACACTAACCCAAAAAGCATTTAACAAAGAAGAAAATGTTAGAGAGTCATAGTGCACTGAAGAAAAGATATCAGGTTTGTGGAAAAGAGAGAAATGGATTCACCTACTTTAGTTCATATGTTTAGGCAGCTATACCTGAGAAAGTGACATTCAGCTGAGATAACAAAATAAGTAGACAGTCATGTAAAGATCTAAGGGATGAAAGTTCCAGGGAGAACAAATAGGGGGAAAGCTCTGGTGTGGGAAATTATGTGGAGGGACAGAAAGAAGGCTAGAGGGACTGAAGTATAGCAAGCAAGGAAATGGAGAGGCAGAAGATGAGATAGGACACAGAGAGGAAGTCAGAAGCCTCATCATATTAGACTCTGATGTCCACGGTAAAAAATTTGAATTTTATTTTTATTTATTTATTTATTTTTCCTTTTCTTTTTTTTTCTTTTTTTTATTATTATTATACTTTAAGATTTAGGGTACATGTGCACAATGTGCAGGTTAGTTACATATGTATACATGTGCCATGCTGGTGTGCTGCACCCATTAACTCGTCATTTAGCATTAGGTATATCTCCTAAAGCTATCCCTCCCCCCTCCCCCCACCCCACAACTGTCCCCAGAGTGTGATGTTCCCCTTCCTGTGTCCATGTGTTCTCATTGTTCAATTCCCACCTATGAGTGAGAACATGCGGTGTTTGGTTTTTTGTTCTTGCGATAGTTTACTGAGAATGATGATTTCCAATTTCATCCATGTCCCTACAAAGGACATGAACTCATCATTTTTTATTGCTGCATAGTATTCCATGATGTATATGTGCCATGATGTATATGGATTTTCTTAATCCAGTCTATCATTGTTGGACATTTGGGTTGGTTCCAAGTCTTTGCTATTGTGAATAGTGCCGCAATAAACATACGTGTGCATGTGTCTTTATAGCAGCATGATTTATAGTCCTTTGGGTATATACCCAGTAATGGGATGGCTGGGTCAAATGGTATTTCTAGTTCTAGATCCCTGAGGAATCGCCACACTGACTTCCACAATGGTTGAACTAGTTTAGAGTCCCACCAACAGTGTAAAAGAGTTCCTATTTCTCCACATCCTCTCCAGCACCTGTTGTTTCCTGACTTTTTAATGACTGCCATTCTAACTGGTGTGAGATGGTATCTCATTGTGGTTTTGATTTGCATTTCTCTGATAGCCAGTGATGATGAGCATTTTTTCATGTGTTTTTTGGCTGCATAAATGTCTTCTTTTGAGAAGTGCCTGTTCATGTCCTTTGCCCAGTTTTTGATGGGGTTGTTTGTTTTTTTCTTGTAAATTTGTTTGAGTCCATTGTAGATTCTGGATATTAGCCCTTTGTCAGATGAGTAGGTTGCGAAAATTTTCTCCCATTTTGTAGGTTGCCTGTTCACTCTGATGGTAGTTTCTTTTGCTGTGCAGAAGCTCTTTAGTTTAATTAGATCCCATTTGTCCATTTTGGCTTTTGTTGCCATTGCTTTTGGTGTTTTAGACATGAAGTCCTTGCCCATGCCTATGTCCTGAATGGTAATGCCTAGGTTTTCTTCTAGGGTTTTTATGGTTTTAAGTCTAACATTTAAGTCTTTAATCCATCTTGAATTAATTTTTGTATAAGGTGTAAGGAAGGGATCCAGTTTCAGCTTTCCACATATGGCTAGCCAGTTTTCCCAGCACCATTAATCCAGGATATAAACAGAACCAAAGACAAAAACCACATGATCATCTCAATAGATGCAGAAAACGCCTTTGACAAAATTCAACAACCTTTCATGCTAAAAACTCTCTATAAATTAGGTATTGATGGGATATACCTCAAAATAATAAGAGCTATCTATGACAAACCCACAGCCAATATCATACTGAATGGGCAAAAACTGGAAGCATTCCCTTTGAAAACTGGCACAAGACAGGGATGCCCTCTCTCACCACTCCTATTCAACGTAGTGTTGGAAGTTCTGGCCAGGGCAATTAGGCAGGAGAAGGAAATAAAGGGTATTCAATTAAGAAAAGAGGAAGTCAAATTGTCCCTGTTTGCAGATGACATGATTGTATATCTAGAAAACCCCATTGTCTCAGCCAAAATCTCCTTAAGCTGATAAGCAACTTCAGCAAAGTCTCAGGATAAAAAATCAATGTACAAAAATCACAAGCATTCTTATACACCAATAACAGACAAACAGAGAGCCAAATCATGAGTGAACTCCCATTCACAATTGCTTCAAAGAGAATAAAATACCTAGGAATCCAACTTACAAGGGACGTGAAGGACCTCTTCAAGGAGAACTACAAACCACTGCTCAAGGAAATAAAAGAGGATACAAAGAAATGGAAGAACATTCCATGCTCATGGGTAGGAAGAATCAATATCGTGAAAATGGCCATACTGCCCAAGGTAATTTATAGATTCAATGCCATCCCCATCAAGCTACCAATGACTTTCTTCACAGAATTGGAAAAAACTACTTTAAAGTTCATATGGCACCAAAAAAGAGCCCTCATCACCAAGTCAATCCTAAGCCAAAAGAACAAAGCTGGAGGCATCATGCTACCTGACTTCAAACTATACTACAAGGCTACAGTAACCAAAACAGCATGGTACTGGTACCAAAACAGAGATATAGATCAATGGAACAGAACAGAGCCCTCAGAAATAACGCCACATATCTACAACTATCTGATCTTTGACAAACCTGAGAAAAACAAGCAATGGGGAAAGGATTCCCTATTTTTATTTATTTTTTGAGATGGAGTTTCATCCTTGTTGCCCAGGCTGGAGTGCAATGGCACAATTTCGACTCACTGCAACCTCCACATCCCAGGTTCAAGTGATTCTCCTGCCTCAGCTTCCCAAGTAGCTGGGATTTACAGGTGCCCGTGACCATACCTGGCTAATTTTTTTGTATTTTTAGTAGAGACAGGATATCACCATGTTGCCCAAGCTGGCCTGGAACTCCTGACCTCAGATGATCTGCCTGCCTTGGCCTCCCAAAGTGCTGAGATTACAGGCGTGAGCCACCGTGCCCAACCTGAATTTTATTTAAATAGATATGAGAAGCTACTGTATGGTTACAAGGAGAGTCAATTTATATTCAATTTTTTTTTTGAGATGGAGTCTTGCTCTGTTGCCCAGGCTAGATTGCAGTAGTACAATCTTGGCTCACTGCAACCTCTGCCTCCTGGGTTCAAGCGATTCTCCTGCCTCAGCCTCCCAAGTAGCTGAGACCACAGGCGCATGCCACCACACCCGGCTAATTTTTTATATTTTTAGTAGAGATGGGGTTTCACCGTGTTAGCCAGGATGGTCTCGATCTCCTGACCTCATGATCCACCCCCCTCGGCCTCCCAAAGTGCTGGGATTACAGGCTTGAGCCACCTCACCCGGCCTCTATTCAATTATTAAAATTAATTCTAGCTACTCTGTGGGGATTGGATTGTTGGGTTTCACAAGTGGTCAGGAAGACTATTTAGGAACATAGCAGGGAATTCCCCAGGGAAAGCAGGCTTGTGGCTTCATAGAGTGCAGTAGCAATAAAGACAGTGAAAACAACAAAGTGGACAGACTCGGCATGTATTTTTGCTTAGCTTGTTAATGGATTACTCTAAAGGGGGTAGAAAAATCAAGCTTATTCCTAAGGATTTCGTTTTGACAAATAAATGGATGATGGTGTTGTTTATTGAAACAGGAAAAACTATGGGAGGAAATGATTTGAAATGGGTGGTTGGAAATAAAATTTTGTTTAAATTTGAGATGATTTATTGACATTTCTGTGGAGCAATCAGAAGGTCAATGGCATTTAAGAGACTCATGGTGAGGCTAGGGCTTCAGGTATTTATGTTGGCGGCATCAATACATGTAGTGTGTTAAATTCCAGGGAGTGGAAGAGGATACATAGGGAGATGGATTGTGTGGAGAAAAAAGAAGAGGGCACAGGCCAGCAAAGGCGGCTGAGAAAGAGCCCAGGGATGTTGGAGAAAAGAGAACATAATGCGTGTAAGTCACGGAAAATAGATTATTTTCAAGGAGAAAGGAGAGTCCAATTGTGGTGAGTACCACTAAGAGGAGGGGGAAATGAGAATGTGACAGAGAAGCAAGTGCTGGGTTTGCTGGAGTTGATATTTGCAGTCAATGGAGTATCCAGGATGGAAACTGGACTGGACCTTTTGAAGAGCGAGTAGAAGTGAAGACAAGGTTAAGGTTGACTGTTTTGAGTAGAGACCTTCAGGGAAGGACTGTGCTCTGGATTCAGGGAGCCCTCTGACTCTAAAGGAAAAGGCTAAAGAGGCTGAAGAGAAGGAGGAGGACCTGTGAACCAGAGATGCTCAGTCACTATTAGCAAGGAAATACTAGAGGGTCCCTGTGTGCAGTGCTCACTGCTCATGCAAAAGGTCACACAGCCAATATTTATTAGTAATATAGAATATACCAGTTATTACTCTAGGTCATGAGAATGGAGGGATGAATAAAATGAATCCCGGTCGCCATCAGTATATGCCATGTAACATTTTGCAGTGACTGTGTACCAGGCCTATGAATTTCAGTATTCGATTTCAATAGTGATCCTGTTGTATCTGTGGTATTTAAAAACATATACTTCTCTGGAATCTAAAATTGAGAGATTATAAGTAAAACCCAGTATTACAAATTTAATGCTGGAAATCAGATTGCATTTTAAATCTGAGCATGTAGAAAGTCCCTTTCTTCTATGTCAGCAGATGCCTTTTGTGTGAGGTTTAGGTATACTGCATTATTAGACATAAACTAGCATTTCTGCCCTATGTTTTCAGAATGACAATTCTTTATGAAACTAATAGAAGAACAGAAGACAATTGCAAAATCATGATGAATATACTAATTGCTTTAGAATCAAGGAATACAAAAATGTGAGCTGCAGTTATAGGGATTATAAAAGTTAAAATGGGAATATATTCGAGTGCTTATTATGTGATCAGTGCTAAGAAGTCATTATTTAATTTTACATTTAACAATAATCCTGTGAGGATTAAACTATTATTAAATGCATTTGATAGATTACAAAAAGGTTTATGTTTGGTAAAAATTGACCCAAGGAGAAGAGGTCACGTTTTTATCCAGATTTTCTGATTCTAGAGTTTGAGAGTCTGTCCATCATTAGTGAATAGTGACTATATTGTGTTTAAATTATTGACAGAATTTCTGATATTCATATGTTACCAGGTTGTTTATTAGAGTGGGGGCAGAGATGCAAGGGCTGCTAGTTCCAATGTATAGGAGAAATTTTCATTCATTTTAAAAGCTCTATATGTCTGTCATGGGCATATGTTGAAGAACACAAGGAAGTATTAAATCACTCCTTCTTCTGAGGTTTGTCTGAGGTTTTCTAGTAAGCTGGGCTAGGATTGCCAAATAAAATACAGGTTCCCAGTTAAATCTGAATTTCGGATACACAATCATAATTTACTGAAAGTCCAAATTTAACTGGGTATCCTCTGGTTTTATTTGCCAAATCTGTCACCCCTAAGTGGGACACATGAGCATGGATTATAGTGCTATCCATGCAAGCCACAGCCACAGTGAAAGCAACTTCACACATGTTTATTTTTTAACTTTCTCTCTGTAAAGAAAGTGCTTAGATAATTTAGGAATAAAAAGGTAGACATTATTTGATCCAGGGTGCACACTTCTCTGCCAACCTTTATAAAGGGCAAAGGGAGATTTCCGCAGGTCTTGCTTACAGTCTGGGGACCTGCTCATGTTTTGAAACTGTCTGTATGAGAATGTCATTTTCTTGGTTTCTCCCTTTCTGAAGGGACTTCACTACAAAACTGAGAGTTCTACCTCTGGCCAAGCCTGGTAATTTGAGGCCTGCTAGTATTGTTGGGAATGGGAGACTGAAATAAATGAGTTAGTTGGGGCATTAAACAGGAATAAAATAGCTGTGGTTGTGATTCATTACTACAGATAATTAGTGGACCAGTGGCGGAGAAATTAAGAAAGAAGATGATGTGAAAAATAAATTATATGATTTGGTGACTGATTGGTAAGGCAAGGTAATCAGTGAATCTCGGTTCTCAGTAAGTTCATTTTCTGGAAAGATAGCACTGTACTGGGACCAGAATTCTAGAAAACATTCGTTTTATGTAGGACAAAGATTTTCAACCAATATTTTTCAATGCAATTCTCAGCTGCTCCATAACTAATAGTGGCTTATTCAACACAGATTTTTTCAGATGGTTCACACCCGTGGTTCTTACCCAGGGATAGTTCACCACCCCTCCCTTCCCTCCCACCACCCTTAGGGAATGTGTGGCAATGTTGGAACACTTTTTGGTTGTCACAACAGGGGTTTCTTCTGATATTTAATGAGTAGAAGCCAGGGACACTGCTAGAGAACCCACAATGTTCAGAACAGACTCCATGACCAACAAAGAATTATCTGGTCCAAAATGTCAATAGTGCTGAGGCTGAGAGCACCGGTTCACACTGTGCTCTTTCTGAAAATTCTAGACTCACTTTTTTGTTTGTTTGTTTTTTTGAAATGGGGTCTTGCTCTGTCACCCAGGCTGGAGTGCAGTGGCTCCCTCTCGGCTCACTGCAACCTCTGCCTCCGAGGTTCAAGTGATTCTCCCGTCTCAGCCTCCCGAGTAGCTGGGATTACAGGTGCACCCCGCCATGCCCAGCTAATTTTTTGTATTTTAGTAGAGACGGGGTTTTACCATGTTGCCCAGGCTGATCTCCTGAGCTCAGGCAATCCACCTGCCTCAGTCTCCCAAAGTGCTAGGATTACAGGCTTGAGCCACCGCGCCTGGCCTAGACTCACATCTTTTATACAGTCACTGCCCAATTCAGTTCTTTATGGTTTATTTTTGCTTGTTTCACTATAAAAAACTAGACAGTTGCATAAATTCAACCACTTACTTGTTGAATCCATTTAGTCAATGCAATCTCAACATTTTCATATTTATTTTTTGCCTTATGCAATATTTTTGAACATTTTCATGAGTTTTTGGTCAGCACTATATTAACTTTCAACAGCTTGCCCTTATAAGTCATAAATAGTGATGCTGCTGCAATTATTTTTCACTAACATGCCTCAGATTTCTGTAGTGATTCTACATTTGATATTATTCACAATGTAAAATGCTTCTATTTATTCATTTCACTTTTACCCACAGGATTATTTTAAAGTTATGTTTGTCATTTTCACACTTCAATCAAACATAAAGACAAAAACATCAAAAACATGTACATAGTGTTTTACGTATGTGTATATTTACACACATATATGTATGTGTGTTTATATGTATTGAAACTACAGAAGCACATGTAACCAATAAGAGCTCTGAGACACCTTTGACCACTTACCCTTATCAGATGAGATTTGCCAAATGAGTTTTGGGAACAAATTTCTTTTAACTGAATTTCTGAGCTTTGTGAATTTAGAAATGCAAAGGAAGGTTTGTGAACATTTATGGGGATCATAGTTTTATTTTCCTTAAAACTCTTCGATACTTTCCCATTGTCTTTAGTAAATCCAAAATCCTAACACCACCCACGAGGCTTTTAAATACCTGGCTTCTTGTGACTTCTCCAGTCTAATCTTTTACCCTCCTTCCCCTCAGCCTCTCTGCTTTAGTGAAATTTGTTCTAGTTTTTTGATTAAGTTCATCAGTTTAAGCTTTTGTACATGGGATTTCCGAAACCTGAAATGTGCCACCCGTTTTGTCCAAGCAGACACACAGGCTCCACCCTGCTCCTGGCTCACCCCTGCTTAACCTGTCAAGTCACATCTGAACCGTCACTCTTCAGAGGGTCCTCCTCTGGCACCCTAATGTAATTGAGATCATCCTATTATTCTCTGCTCTAGAACTCCACACTTCTGACATTTCTCATTCCTGTCTAAGCTCTTGCGTGTTTGGTTTTTGGCCATCACTTTCACTGCTCTTTAAGCTCCCCCAGCAGAGTGGAGAGGTCTGTTTTCCCTTGTTTGGATTCCTAGAGGCAGCGCAGGCCAAACACAAGGTCATCACTAAGGAAGTGTGCACAGGATGAACGCGGTGGGTGCTGTTTAAGGGAAGGGTAAAGCCTTTAAAGGGTAAAGGGCTGAGAGAAGGAGCAGAGAGTGTGTTTGGGGTGGAGGCTCCCAGGAGGAGTCGGTGCGGGCTGCGGTGCTGGACGGATCCTCCTCCAGCTCCTGCTTAGAGGTCTCCAGAACCGGCTGGAGGCAGGGAGGGGGTCCCAAAGCCTGGGGATCAGAGGTAGTTTTCCCACCTGGTCCCCCAGACCCCCGTCCGCTTCAGAAAGACAGAGGATGATCCCCTGGCCTGCGCGCAGTCGGGGTTGCGGGTGGGGCCGGTCAAGGTTCCCAGTGCCCGCACCCTGCCCAGGGAGCCCCGGATGGCGGCGTCGCTGTCAGTGTTTTTCCCGGAGACCGCCCCTGTGACCGGATCGTTTGTGCCCCCACAGCACGTTTCCTGTGGCAGGGTAAGTATAAGTGTCATTTCTTCAACGGGACGGAGCGGGTGCAGTTCCTGGAAAGACTCTTCTATAACCAGGAGGAGTTCGTGCGCTTCGACAGCGACGTGGGGGAGTACCGGGCGGTGACGGAGCTAGGGCGGCCTGTCGCCGAGTCCTGGAACAGCCAGAAGGACATCCTGGAGGACAGGCGGGGCCAGGTGGACACCGTGTGCAGACACAACTACGGGGTTGGTGAGAGCTTCACAGTGCAGCGGCGAGGTGAGCGCGGCGGAGGCGGGGCCTGGGTCTCTCCGAGCTGGGAATCTGAGTGTGGTTGTGTGTGTGTGTGTGAGAGAGAGAGAGAGAGCGAGACCGCCATCTGTGAGCATTCAGAATCCTCTCAATCCTGAGCAAGGAGTTCTGAAGGCACAGGTGTGTGTGTAGAGTGTGGATTTGTCTGTGTGGCTGTTGTGGGAGGGGAGGCAGGAGGGGGGCTGCTTCTTATCCTTGGAGGCCTCTGTGGGGAGGTGACGTGGGAGGGGGGTACAGGGGGCTGGAGACAGATTGGACCTTGATTGTCCTGGGTCCTTGGAGATGCAGGGAAGGGAAGTGTAGGGTGTGTGTGGTTGGGGTGAAGGTTTAGGAGAGGAGAACTGAGGGGTATAGAAGGTTTGGGATAATGTGAGGAGGCCAGTACCAGACGGTCCCTGGCACACACCCTTCATGCAATCTCTGAAATAAAAGTGTGTGCTGTTTGTTTGCAAAAGCATTAAATTAATTTCTAGGGGAACTGAGGAGACCTCTGAGGCACCTCTGAAGCTTCTTTATTTTAGGTCTAAATTTCTTGCTATTTTTTTGTTTTCTTAGTGTGTATATTTTTACATACTTGAAATGACTGTGAAACTAACTTTTTGAATTAAAGTTTGAACACAGTTACTATTTCATTATAATGCTAATAATTCCATAGTTACATATTATTCTTTTATATTTAATAGTTGTGACACAAATTACCTCACTTTCCCCTTTGATGACCTTTATTATGACATTGACCAAAAGTTGAAAATGTATGTTTCTGGTTAATTTTTGATTTATATTTTTTTGGTTTGTAATTCTTTTGAATTATATTGACCTATTTATTGGCCAGTTATAATTACTGCTCAACCAATTACCTGTTGTGTAATGGACAGTGATCTATTGTCTGTTATCTCTAGGGCTTAGTATTTTTCTCAGTGACTTTGTGGGTTCTTTGTACTGTAAGATTATTAACACTTTATTGATATTTGATTCAGTATTTTCTCCAGTTTGTGGTATGTATATTTTGAAAATTCTTTTCCATGTTAAGAATTTGAACATTTTTGTTTAGTAAAATATATTGCAAAATATTAATTAATGATTTACAAACTAGCTCAAGTCTACCATTTTGTGGTATTGTTGTCTCCAAGTTTCTCCTTCCTTCTTAAAAAAAATGTATTTATTGAGAGCATGCTAGTGTGTTAGGGATTTCCCTAGGCATAATCACCCCAAGTAATGAGTCCCAGACCCTGCCTTGATCCAAATTTCATTCTGGAAAGAAAAATCATTTTACAATGATAGGCCTAATAATAGTTATACTTGTTTTGCCTGGGAGATGCATTGATCAGCTAAATGTAAATATAAGAACTTTCAAAACTAAAATGACGTTCCTTAATCCTTCTCTCTGCTTTAGGACTCATGCTTTTTTAGGAACTTAAAGATTTGGAGAATCATTTCTGTCTGTCCCACCTTCCCAGGAGCATAACCATTTCTGTGGTGTTCTAAGGTGTGAGTGCATGGCAGTAGTATTCCTAAAAATTCATACTCAGTTTCCTCATGTGCCCTACTCCGTCCCTTTCTCTATCCACATTGCTTTAAATCATATTTTTCCCTCAAGGTGTACAAGGATGATAAATAGGTGCCAAGTGGTGCACACAAGTGTGATGAGCCCTCTCACAGTGGAATGGAGTGAGAAGCTTTCTAACCTCATAAATTGAAGGCTATCTTCAGTCTTTTTTTTATATATTTTACTCGCATTAATCCTCATATAACCTCAAGAGGTAAATTAATATAATTATCCTCCATTACTGGTGAGAAAGTTGAGACACAAAAGAATCAAATACTCTTCCAGGATCAACCAGTAAAAGGCAGACCTTGGATTTGAACCAGGCAACCTGGCTCAGAAGTCAGTTTTAATTACTACACTCTGTACGTTCAAAGATTTGTAAACACTTTGACAATGCATGTCAATTTCAAGCTATGAAGAGCCAAACATAATTTTTCACAGTATCTCTCAAATCTAATGGGTCCCCACTATAAAGATTAAATTCCAGGCTGATGAGACTGTGAGGCCACATGGCCAGCTGTGTTGGAGGTCTGCTCAAGGCCAGAGCCTAGGTTTACAGAGAAGCAGACAAAAAACTAAACAAGGAGACTTACTCTGTCTTCCTGACTCATTCCCTCTACCTTGTTTTCTCCTAGTCCATCCTGAGGTGACTGTGTATCCTGCCAAGACTCAGCCCCTGCAGCACCACAACCTCCTGGTCTGCTCTGTGAGTGGTTTCTATCCAGGCAGCATTGAAGTCAGGTGGTTCCGGAACGGCCAGGAAGAGAAGGCTGGGGTGGTGTCCACAGGCCTGATCCAGAATGGAGACTGGACCTTCCAGACCCTGGTGATGCTGGAAACAGTTCCTCGGAGTGGAGAAGTTTACACCTGCCAAGTGGAGCACCCAAGTGTGATGAGCCCTCTCACAGTGGAATGGAGTGAGCAGCTTTCTGACTTCATAAATTTCTCACCCACCAAGAAGGGGACTGTGCTAATACCTGAGTGTCGGGTTTCTCCTCTCCCACATCCTATTTTCATTTGCTCCATGTTCTCATCTCCATCAGCACAGGTCACTGAGGGTAGCCCTGTAATACTTTCTAGAAACACCTGTACCCCCTGGGGAAGAAGTCATGCCTGCCAGGCAGGAGAGGCTGTCCCTCTTTTGAACCTCCCCATGATGTCACAGGTCAGGATCACCTGCTGTCCGTGGGCTCCAGGCCCTGCCTCTGGGTCTGAGACTGAGTTTCTGGTGCTGTTGCTCTGAGTTGTTTGTTGTAATCTGAGAAGAGGAGAAGTATAGGGGCCTTCCTGACATGAGGAGAGTCCAATCTCAGCTCTGCCTTTTATTAGGTCTGTCACTCTAGGCAACTACTTAACCTCATTGGGTCTCAGGCTTTCTGTGGATCAGATGTTGAAGTCCTGCCTTACATCAAGGTTGTAATATTTGAATGACTTTGATGCCTGAATCTTGTAACTGTTCAGTGTGATTTGAAAACCTTTTTTTCTCAAGAAATAGTTATTTTAGTTCTTGCAGGGCAGCCTTCTTTCTCATTTTCAAAGCTCTGAATCTCAGGGTGTCAATTAAAGGGGTTCCATTTAAGATAAAAATCACTAATCCTTGCTTCCTCTCTCAGGAGCACGGTCTGAATCTGCACAGAGCAAGATGCTGAGTGGAGTCGGGGGCTTTGTGCTGGGCCTGCTCTTCCTTGGGGCCGGGTTGTTCATCTACTTCAGGAATCAGAAAGGTGAGGAGCCTTTGGTAACTGGCTCTCTCCATACGCTTTTCTGGAGGAGGAACTATGGCTTTGCTGAGGTTAGTTCTCAGTATATGAATGGCCCTGGATAAAGCCTTTCTATTCCCAAATGACCTCCAATGTTCTGCAATTCCAGAAATCATCAGTGCATGGTTGCTATGTCAAAGCATAATAGCTTGTGGCCTACAGAGATAACAGAAAGGTTAACAGGTATGGGTGCTTTGGTTGAGATTCTGGAGCAAATTAAGGAAGAGCCACTAAGGCTAATGGAATTACACTGGATCCTGTGACAGACACTTCACGCTTCATGGGTCACGTGGTCTGTTTCTGCTCCTCTGTGCCCTGGTTGGTGTGGGTTGTGGTGTTAGAGAAATCTCAGGTGGGAGATCTGGGGCTGGAACATTGTGTTGGAGGACAGATTTGCTTCCGTATCCTTTAAGTCCATATCTTTTCCTCTTTTCCCTAGGACACTCTGGACTTCAGCCAACAGGTAATACCTTTTCATCCTCTTTAAGAAACAGATTTGGAGGCCGGGCGTGGTGGGTTACACCTGTAATCCCAGCACTTTGGGAGGCCGAGGGGGGCAGATCAGGAGGTCAGGAGTCGAGACCAGCCTGACCAACATGGTGAAACCCCGTCTCTACTAAAAATACAAAAATTAGTGGGGCGTGGTGGTGTGCGCCTGTAATCCCAGCTACTCAGGAGACTGAGGCAGGAGAATCGCTTGAACCCGGGAGGCAGAGGTTGCAGTGAGCCGAGATTGCACCGCTGCACTCCAGCCTAGGCAACAGAATGAGACTCCGTCTCAAAAAAAAAAAAAGAAAGAAAGAAAGGGAGGGAGGGAGGGAAGGAAGAAAGAAGGAAGGAAGGAAGGAAGGAAGGAAGGAAGGAAGGAAGGAAGGAAGGAAAGAAGGAAAGAAAGAAAGAAAAGAAAGAGATTTCCTTTCCCTAGAATGATGGTAAAGGTGATAAGGCATGAGACAGAAGTAATAGCAAAGACATTGGATCCAAATTTCTGATCAGGCAATTTACACCAAAACTCCTCCTCTCCACTTAGAAAAGGCCTGTGCTCTGCAGGAGTATTGACTCATGGAGACTTCAGAACTTGTTTTTCTTCTTCCTGCAGTGCTCTCATCTGAGTCTTTGAAAGAGGGCAAAATAAACTGTTAGTGGAGCCAGGTCTGAAAACAACACTTTCTTGTGTCTCTGCAGGATTCCTGAGCTGAAGTGAAGATGACCACATTCAAGGAAAAACCTTCTGCCCCAGCTTTGCAGGATGAAACACTTCCCCGCTTGGCTCTCATTCTTCCACAAGAGAGACCTTTCTCCGGACCTGGTTGCTACTGGTTCAGCAACTCTGCAGAAAATGTCCTCCCCTGTGGCTGCCTCAGCTCATGCCTTTGGCCTGAAGTCCCAGCATTGATGGCAGCCCCTCATCTTCCAAGTTTTGTGCTCCCCTTTACCTAACGCTTCCTGCCTCCCATGCATCTGTACTCCTCCTGTGCCACAAACACATTACATTATTAAATGTTTCTCAAACATGGAGTTAAAAATCGTCTGGTCATTTGGCTCCAAGGACAAAAAATAAAAAGAAAAGAAAAAGTGAAGATTATTTCCCGATAGAATAATGGTTTTCATGGATATGTCAGAAGTGTGTGAGGTAATGCATATGTTAAATAGGTTGATTTAGACATTTTACACTATAGGCATATATCAAAACTTCATGCTGTATGACATAAATAAACAATTTTTTCTTGTCAATTTAAAAAGTAAACCTAATGTTTAAGAAGGCAATGCATAAAAACTGAGAACAGACTATAAGAACAGAAACAAACTTGGCAAACATGAGATGATAAACCAGCTAGCAAGTCAATCAGAACTCTTTCTCAACCCCGTCTACAATATTGTGTATCTATAACTGCAAATTATAGTTTTTCATTCCAGAGACTTCAATTATATGGTATTATCAAAGGACTTGTACAGATTTCAGAGAAAGACAAATTTAGAAGATGGAGGGTTCTCCATCGTATTCTGAGAGTCAGTATCAAATATGTCAAATCTAAAAGTACATAATCAATTCAAATTTTATTTCAACATAATCATTTGAGCATAATTTTTCTACCGTCAGAGACAACTGTTATTTTATTTTCAATCAAATTCAGTGTATATTTTGTGCATATTTCATTTTTAGTTATATTACATGTTACTTGTACATACATACCAGGTGTGTAAAGGTACATATAAATTCTATAAGAATATAAAACCTATAAGAATATATTAAGCTGATAATTATGTCTGCTCTGTTTGATCCCAGAGTTGCAACAAATAAGACTTTGTTCCCTAAGTTGAGAAAATGATTTGTCTCATTCATATGAGACTTGTGGTGTGGAATTATAAGGTAGAACTAAAATGTGTGGGTTGAATATTATAATGAAGATGCCTTCTGCTGTGAACAGCAGGAAATCTGATCTAGTGGGGTGTATTTTTCTTTCACCCATTATCTCACATAGCCAATAGATCCAAGGCTGGGCATCTCCAGGTTTGCTCAACTCAGCAGGCCAGTGGCATCACCAGTGATCCTGGGACTTCATAGCTCATCTCTCTATCACACACAGCATGTCAGCTTTCCTGAGATGGTAGGAGGACCCCCGCAGCAGCTTTAGGTTTCTTATTCTTTCACAACAACTTCAAATGCAGGAAAAAGATACTACATTTTCCTGTGTGCGTTTATAAGCAGCAACTAAACTGTTTCCAGAGTTTTCCCAGTACCCACTTTCTCACATATTGGAATGAGTATATACACATATATATACACATATATATGTGTATATATATGTGTATATATGTGTATATATGTGCATATATATAAAATGTGTATATATGTGTGTATATATATAAAATGTCAGCCATTAACTCAATTACAATAAAACAAAAAAGCAAGCAAAAACGATTGTTTTTAGAACTCAATTAAGCATGCTGACATGTTATTTTATGAGATAAATATATTTTCCAGGAAATTTTTGAAAAAAGGTAGAATAAAGAATGACTAGCTCTTTAAGGTCCCAAAACGTACTATACATTTATTTTTTAAAATGCATTTGTTACGGATTTTTTTTATTAAATACGCTAGTAAAACAGAGTATAGAATTAGAAACAGAAAGAGTTGAGATTTAGTTTCATTTTTTTGTAAGTTGCATTCCAAACTCATTTCTTTCATTAAATGGATCCTGGATAAATAAAAGTTGAAACATAAAGGGACAATATAAAATTAACAAGATAGATTTTTTTTTATTTTTTGAGACGGAGTCTCACTCTATTGCCCAGACTGAAATACAGTGGCGCGATCCCGGATCCCCACAATCTCTGCTTCCTGGGTTCAAGCATTTCTCCTGCCTCAGCCTACAAAGTAGCAGGGACTATGGACGCCCGCCACCATGCCCGGCTAATTTTTATATTTTTTGTAGAGACGGGTTTTCACTATGTTGACCAGGCTGGTCTCCAAGTCCTGACCTCGTGATCTGACACCTCGCCCTCTGAAAGTGCTGGGACTATAAGCGTGAGCCTCCACATCCAGCTGACAGATGTTATTTCTATCATCATCATTATAAATATGTTTGAAGACAAACAGACTTTCTAAATCCTTATGTATTATTGGTGGGAATGTATGATTTTACAAATATCTGGAAATATGACAATTTCTTAAAAAGTTTAACATAAATTTGCCATATGACCCAGCAATTTCACTCCTTGGAATCTACCTGAGACATAAAAACATATGTCCTCACAAAGATATGTGTTCAAGGGTTCAGAACAGCCTTAGCCATAGCAGGCCCAAACTGAAAACAATACAAATATCCTTCAATTAGTAAATGGATTAACAAAATGATACTACATCCATGCAAGGCAATATCATTCAACAATAAAAGGGAACAAAAACAGACTTATCTGACAGGGGAGATACCATGAACATGAGGATAGTTTTCCCAAGGCAAGTTTCAACCCATGCAGTCTGGATGATGAGACATTACTTAATGGGGACAATGCATGTGATTTGGGTGGTGGATACTGTAGAAACACTAACTTCACCACTATACGACCTATGCATGTAACAAAACTACACTTGGATCTTATACATTTATACAAATGAAAAAAGAGAAAATGAAATGAAAAGAAACAAAATGATGATACATACTACAAACTGATGAGCTTCAATAATGTTAACTAAGTGATGGAAACTGGACACAAAAGATTACATGTCGTATGATTTCATTTACTTGAAATATCCAGAAGAGATAAATTATAGACACAAAAAGCATATCATTGGATGCCTAGGACTTGGGCTATTGGTGGGAATTAACTATAAATAGAGAAATTTTGAACGTGACAGAAATGTTATAAAACTGGATTGTTGTGATAATTGCACAAATCTATTAATTTACTAAAATCATTAAATTTTACATGTACAATAAGTGAATTTTGTAATATGTAAATTACGCTTTAGTAAAGCTGTTAAAATAATTCTTTTTTAAAAAATAAGACACTGTAAGCAAGACAAAATCCAGAAGACACAAGTGAAAAAAATTGAAGAAAATTATGGATTTCTTTGCATGAAGAAAATAACAAAATTAAAAGAAGTATATGAAGTTCAGGAAAAATTTTGATCACATAAGGCAGACGATGGGCTAAATTTCTTATGAAAAATTGTTAACTAATCAATAAATTAATGGAAATGCCACAGAACATTGGGCAAAGGATATAGACTGATTATATAAGAGAATATTTCAATAGTCAATATATATAAATATTAGCTCAAACTCACAAATGAACAAAAAAATTCAAATTCAAATAGCAATGTAATAAACTATCCTCCACAAAACTGGCAAACACAATAGTTTGCTTTAAAATCAAAGATTTAGAAGATTCTATGGGAATAGATTCTCTCATATTAGGATTGTGAGTGGATGGTAGTGTGATAGTATCTATTAAAACTCAAAATGCAATTGTTACATGCTTAATGAAACAACAAAAATCCCATTCTAAACATCCGTGTTAAAGAAACAATCCTGGCCAGGCGCAGTGGCTCACGCCTGTAATCAAAGCACTTTGGGAGGCCGAGGCGGGTGGATCATGAGGTCAGGAGTTTGAGACCAGCCTGGCCAACATGGAGAAACCTCATTTCTATTAAAAATACAAAAATTAGCCAGGCGTGGTGGCAGGCTCCTGTAATCCCAACCACTGGGGAGGCTGAGGCAGGAGAATCACTTGAATCCAGGAGGCAGAGGTTGCAGTGAGCTGAGATCACACCACTGGACTCCAGCCTGGGCGACAGAGTGAGACTCCGTCTCAAAAAAAAAAAAAAATAGTGAAAAAAGAAACAATCCTGCATGAGCCCAGGGAGACATAAAATTGTTTTTTGAGCCACGGTTTGGAATAACAAAAACATTTCCAAATTCAAAAAGAAAAACTGATTAATTTGTCTGGATTAGAAAACTTTTGTACGTCATAAAAACTATGCAGTATGTGAAGTCACAGAACACTGCAAAATGGTAAAGAAGCAGTTTTTTGCAGGAATGGGAGTGGCAACGTAAGCAGAAGTTGATAGAGAGATACAAAGCCAACAATCATTTGCCAGGGAAGGATTGGACTGGTTTATCAGAGAGTGAGTTAAGTTGAGAGTCTTGTAGAGGTAATTAGGAGCTAGTGGAAGGGGAGGGGTGATTGTATGAGGTATCCAAGGAAGCAGGAAGGATAGCTAAGCAAAGAGTAAATAGGAAGGTAAAGAGGGTGCTCTGGAAGACAAGATCATTTTATCTAGTCTGAGTTAAAGGTAGGAGTAAATTTCTGTCAGAAGGAAGGAATATAGAAAGAAGGGCTCCCCCTCCCCCTCCCCCCCCCCCTTTCCCCACGGTCTCCCTCTCCCTCTCTTTCCACAGTCTCCCTCTGATGCCGAGCGGAAGCTGGACTGTGCTGCTGCCATCTCGGCTCACTGCAACCTCCCTGCCTGATTCTCCTGCCTCAGCCTGCCGAGTGCCTGCGATTGCAGGCGCGCGCCGCCACGCCTGACTGGTTTTCGTATTTTTTTGGTGGAGACGGGGTTTCGCTGTGTTGGCCGGGCTGGTCTCCAGCTCCTAACCGCCAGCGATCCGCCAGCCTCGGCCTCCCGAGGTGCCAGGATTGCAGACGGAGTCTCCTTCACTCAGTGCTCAATGGTGCCCAGGCTGGAGTGCAGTGGCGTGATCTCGGCTCGCTACAACCTCCACCTCCCAGCCACCTGCCTAGGCCTTCCAAAGTGCCGAGAGTGCAGCCTCTGCCCGGCCGCCACCCCGTCTGGGAAGTGAGGGGCGTCTCTGCCTGGCCGCCCATCGTCTGGGATGTGAGGAGCCCCTCTGCCTGGCTGCCCAGTCTGGAAAGTGAGGAGCGTCTCTGCCCGGCCGCCATCCCATCTAGGAAGTGAGGAGCGCCTCTTCCCGGCCGCCATCCCATCTAGGAAGTGAGGAGCATCTCTGCCCGTCCGCCCATCATCTGAGATGTGGGGAGCGCCTGTGCCCCGCCGCCCCATCTGGGATGTAAGGAGCGTCTCTGCCCAGCCGCCCCGTCTGAGAAGTGAGGAGCCCCTCCGCCCGGCGCCCACCCCGTCTGGGAAGTGAGGAGCGTCTCCGCCCGGCAGCCACCCCCTCCGGGAGGGAGGTGGGGGGGTCAGCCCCCTGCCCGGCCAGCCGCCCCGTCCGAGAGGTGAGGGGCGCCTCTGCCCGGCCGCCCCTACTGGGAAGTGAGGAGCCCCTCTGCCTGGCCAGCCGCCCCATCTGGGAGGGAGGTGGGGGGGTCAGCCCCCCGCCAGGCGAGACGCTCCGTCCGGGAGGGAGGTGGGGGGTCAGCCCCCCGCCCGGCCAGCCGCTCCGTCCGGGAGGTGAGGGGCGCCTCTGCCCGGCCGCCCCTACTGGGAAGTGAGGAGCCCCTCTGCCCGGCCAGCACCCCATCTGGGAGGTGTACCCAACAGCTCATTGAGAACGGGCCATGATGACAATGGCGGTTTTGTGGAATAGAAAGGGGGGAAAGGTGGGGAAAAGATTGAGAAATCGGATGGTTGCCCTGTCTGTGTAGAAAGTAGACATGGGAGACTTTTCATTTTGTTCTGTACTAAGGAAAATTCTTCTGCCTTGGGATCCTGTTGATCTGTGACCTTACCCCCAACCCTGTGCTCTCTGAAACATGTGCTGTGTCCACTCAGGGTTAAATGGATTAAGGGCGGTGCAAGATGTGCTTTGTTAAACAGATGCTTGAAGGCAGCATGCTCGTTAAGAGTCATCACCACTCCCTAATCTCAAGTACCCAGTGACACAAACACTGCGGAAGGCCGCAGGGTCCTCTGCCTAGGAAAACCAGAGACCTTTGTTCACTTGTTTATCTGCTGACCTTCCCGCCACTATTGTCCTATGACCCTGCCAAATCCCCCTCTTTTGAGAAACACCCAAGAATGATCAATTAAAAAAAAAAAAAAAAAAAAAAGAAGGAAGGTTGACGTGATTAGGATTTTCGTCCCGGCAGGAGCTACAGTTTATAGTCCTATCACAAAGAGTATGGTTAGTACGCTGCTTAATAATATGATGAAATAGTAAAAGGATCCCATTAAAGGGGCAAGGAGAGGTGTTAAAAGTAAAGATTATGTAGGTTTTCACTTGTCTTTTTTAAGAAGGAAGGGTTTTTTTCTTCAGGATCAGTAGTAGGAGCTTTTTTAGTCTGGGATGTTTCCTTCCGAAATAGGAGATGCAAGTCCTCCACTCGTTCGCAGGTGTATCGAGGCTGGTCTGGCTGATCTTGGGACGGTCCCGCAGGTTCCTCAGGGCGTGTCCAAAATTTAACTCCGGTGTGGTGAATCCAAGATTCCACTCCCGCCACCTTAACTGCAGTGGGGGTAGAGAGGATTACCGAGTATGGTCATTTCCACAAAGAGTCCATAGATGGGGAGGTAGAGGGAAGAGATTTGATCAACGCTAGATCTCCTGGTTGAAACAACTCTTGTTTCCTTTTCTCTGTGACATCCCTCAGGTAGGTTTTTAAGGTTTTGATGATATTTTGCCAAAGAAATTATATCTTTGACCAAGTTGACCATTTCCTGATCAAGTAGGAGGTCATTTGTGAGAAAAGGTCATCCATACAGCATTTCGTATGGACTGAGCCCCATTTTGTGAGGAGAATTTTGGATTCTCAGCAAGGTCATGGGCAAAAGAGTAGGCCATGGGAGATGAGTTTCTTGTGTTAGTTTTCTTAAGTGCCTCTTAAGTGATTCATTTGCCTTCTCAACCTTCCCTGAGGATTGTGGCCTCCAGGCCCAGTGAAGGTGATATTGTGTCCCTAGCGCCCTGGAAATTCCCTGAGTTATTGTGGTTTTTATTAAAAGCCGAACCATTGTTGCTCTGTAAGCTTTGGAGTTCCAGACCAGCCTGACCAACATGGAGAAACCGTCTCTACTAAAAATACAAAATTTGCTGGGCATGGTGGTGCATGCCTGTAATCCCAGCTACTCAGGAGGCAGAGGCAGGAGAATTGCTTGAACCCGGGAGGCAGAGGTTGTGGTGAGCCGAGATTGCACCATTGCACTCCAGCCTAAGCAACAAGAGTGAATCTCCATCTCAAAAAAAAAAAATAGAGAAAACCAGTGAAAGAAAAATTTTCTTCTTTGAAAAGATTAATAGAACTCACAAATTTCTAGACAAAATAAAGGGAAAAAGGAGAAAAAACACCAATATTGGGATTGAAACATGTTATATCACTACAGATCCTTTGGCATCAATAGCATACCAGAGGAATACACCAAAAACACTTAGGTGAAATGGAAAAAAAAATTCTTAAAAAGTACACACTTTTACAACTAAAAAATTTTCTTCTTTGAAAAGATTAATAGAACTCACAAATTTCTAGACAAAATAAAGGGAAAAAGGAGAAAAAACACCAATATTGGGATTGAAACATGTTATATCACTACAGATCCTTTGGCATCAATAGTATACCAGAGGAATACACCAAAAACACTTAGGTGAAATGGAAAAAAAAATTCTTAAAAAGTACACACTTTTACAACTAACTCAATATCAAATAGATAAATTGAAAAGCAGTGTAATTATGAAAGAAATTGAACTTATAATATAAAGACTGCTGAAAGAGAAACCTCTAGGCCAGAATAGTTTCACAGGAGAAATCTACCAAACATTTCAGTAGAATTAAGACAAGCCTGTAAAATTTCCTCCAGAAAACAGAAGAGAAGGGAACACATCCCAACTCACTTTATGAGGCCAGCATTTCCTAAAATCAAAAGGACACAAAAATAGAACAGCAAAAGAAAATTAAAAAGCAATATACTTGCTTGACTATAGATGCAAAACTCCCTAACAAAATAGTAGCAAATAAAAATCTGCCAAACTGAAAAAATATATAAACTATGCCAAGTAGCATTTACTCTAGGGATGCAAGTCTGGTTTAATGTTTGAAATCAGTGTCATCCATCTTATTAACAAGCTAAAGAAGAAACATTGAATGATTCTATCAATTGATGTAGAAACGACCTTCAACATAATTCAATGTTCATTTATGGTAAAAAACAAAACAAAACAAAACAAAAAAGCCTCTGAATAGTAGGAATAGAGGAGGCCCTACTCAACTTGATAAATAACTTCTACAAAAATGTTGCGGCTAAATTATACTTAAGGGTGGAAGACTGAAAGTTTTTCCTCTTCTGCTTCAGCTAATGATGAAATTCACAAAGGTCACAGAATTCAAGATCAACCAAAAAATCAATTTTATTGGAATATACAGTAATAAATCAAAACAAATATTAAAAATACAACATGAATTAGCTTCACTCAAAAAACCTCATAAGTATGCCAACAGAACATGTACACAGTCGATATGCTGAAATGCTGATAAAGAAATTAAAAAATCTAAAGAAATGGAGAGATTTACTGTGTTCATCAACTAGAAAACTAAATATAAGAAAGATGTCAATTCTACCCAATTTGATATTCAGGTTTAACACAATTTCTCTCTAAATTCCAGCAAGATTTGTAATAGTTGTAGACAAAGTTGTTCTAAAATGTTTGTGGAGAAGCAAGGGAACTAGTATAGGTCAAACGAATTTCATAGGGAAAAAGAGATGGAGAATTAACTGTAACCAAATTTCAGAATTTTTATAACTATAATAATATTGATTGACATTAGTACAGGGATAGACATAGATTGGTGGAGCAGTATGGAGAATCCAGAAAAACACTTATGCCAACTCATTTCGATGAAGATGCAAAATAATTCAATGGAGATAATATAGTCTATAGTCTTTTCAAACAATAGTCTAGGAGAAAGTGGAAATCCATAGACAAAAACAAAACCAAACAAAAACAAAAAAGAACTCAAAGGAAAAAGAAGTAAGAAACAAACTTAACAAATTCTCACACCTTATGAAAACATTTACCCCAATTAAATCATGTTTACATGTAAAACTTTTCGAAGAAAACATATGAGAAAATCATCAGGAGCTAGGGCCGGGGGTCTGAGTTCTGAGTTCTTAGACATGACACCAAAAGTGCTATGTGTAAAAAACAAAAAACAAACAAATAAACAAACAAAATCAATAAATTGGGCTTTATCAAAATTGAAAACTTTTGTTCTGTAAGGTGTCCTGCTAAGAAATGAAAAGCAAGCTAGAGTTATGGAGAAAATATTTAAAACCACATACATTACCAAGAATACAGTATCTAGAACATACGATCAACTATAAAAGCTCTAATATAAAATCTATGGTAGAATGCAAACTATAAAATTTAATTTCAAAATGGGCAAAAGATATGAAGAGACATATTATCAAAGAGGATATATATACATGGCAAATAAGCACAATGAATGACATGCAAATCACTAGCCATCAGGGAAATGCAAATTAAGGACTTAATGTAATAGTGCTACACACTTCTTACTACAGCTAAAATTTTAAAAAAACTGACAATGGTAAATGCTGGTGAGCATGCAGAAAAACTGGATTTCTCATACACTGATGGTGAGAATGTACAATGGTACAGTCCTTCTAAAAAATAGTGAGTCAGTGTCTTGAAGAACTAGACATATATTTGCCATATGAGTCAGGAATTACATTCTGACACATTTATATCAGAGAAACAAAAACACATGTTCACACAAAAATCTTACGCAAATGTTCATAACAGCTTTATTTGTAATAGCCCCACAACTAGAAACAGCCAAAATATCCCTCAACAGGCAAAGAGTTAAACTGCAGTGCCTTCATCTGATGGAGTATTCCTTAGCAATAAAAAAGAGCAAATTGTTAATACATGTAACAACTTGGATGAATCTCAAGGACATTATGCTGAGGGGAAAATGCCCGTCACAAAAGACACGTACTGTGTGATTCTATTTACGTAACATTTTCAAAAGGACACTATTATAGAGATTGGTGGAGAAGAGATTAGTGGTTGTTAGTTGTCAGGGTGATGGTGTGTAGGGAGTAGGGTGTGACTCTGAAGGGCAGCATGAGGGGAGATCTCTGTGGGATGGAATAGCTCTAGATTGCGTGGTGGTTACATAAATCTGCAAATATGATAAGACACAGGCATAGAACTATGCACACATATTCTACCAAAGTCCTGGTTTTGCTACTGTGCTAGAGCTACTTAAGATATAAACATTTGGAAAAACTGGGTGAAAGGGCACACGTGTTCTCTGTACCATCTGCAATTTCCTGTGACTCTATAATGATTTCCAAGTAAAAAGTTTTTAAAAAGCATTTTTCTTTTTGGCTGAAATCCAAAACTCTCACAAAACCAAATGCTGTCAAGGATGTAGAACAACGGGGACTCAGATTCATTGATGGTAGGAATGCAAAACAGTACAGCCACTTTGGAAGACACTGGCTGTTTCTTACAAAGCTAAACATACTCTTACCATATAATCCAGCAATGGCACCTCTGAGTATTTACTCAAATGACTGAAAAACTTATGTCCACACAAATACCTGTACATGGATGTTTATGGCAGTTTTATTCATAATTGCCAAAAATTGGAAGCCCCCAAGATGTCCTCAACAGGTGAGTGGATAAAGAAATTGTGATATATCCATACCGTGGAGTATTATTCAACAGTAAAGAGAAATAAGCTATCAAGTTATGAAAACACATGGAGGAAACCTATAGGGATATTGCTAAGTGGAAGGAGCCAGCCTGAAAAAGCTCTATACTGTATAATTACAACTATATGACACTGTGGAAAAGGCAAAAATACAGACAGTAAATAGTCCAGGGGTTCAGGAGGAGGAGGGATGGGTGAGTAGATTGAGCCTCAGGCATAGTTAGGGAAACTACTTTGTATGATGCTTTTGTTGCTGAAACACCGTGGGTTTGTCTAGCTCCTGCCCTGGCCACACACAAAGCCAATCACTGAGATGACAAGTATTGCCAAGGAAGAAGGCTTTAATCTTTAATCAGACACTGCAGCTGAGTAGATGGGATATCAGTCTCTCCCTGACTGACTAAAATTAGGGGTTTATGTGCAAAGAAAGAAGGAATGTTGCTATGTATGGGGAAACAAGAACTCCAGACAATAAGGAAGCAATCATAATGAATGATGGGGACTGGCATCTCATGATCTGGATGTGATGATCTGGTGAGTTCCAGTTATTTGATAATTGTTGAGAGACCTGAGCATCCTTTCTTGAGAAAGGAATTCAGACAAAACAATGTAAATTTCAAGCTTTAAGAGCAGAGGGGTCAATTTCTACGTTTATCCAAATAACTATCTTATGGGACTATTGGGTTGGTTTCACACTGATGGTAGATACATGACATTGTGTATCTCCAGAACCCATAGAACTGTGTAATAGAGTGAACCCCAATATAAGTATGAACCTCAGTTAACAATAAGTATCAGTATTGGTTCATTAATTGTAACAAGCATGCCACACTAATGCAGGATGTTAATAATAGGAGAAACTGAACAGAGGGCTGTTTTAGGGAAGGAGGTATGGGGAACTCCCTAAATTTTCTCTGAAAATTTTTTATACCTTAAAACTGCTTTAAAAATGGTCTTGTTACATGGGAGGATATGGATTTAGTTTTGCTTTTCATTCTATGCTTGTCTGAGTTTGAGTTTATTCTCTATTGTTCATCTATTTATTTTATATTAAAATTGTAGATGTTAACAAACATCCTATTTGCAACATTCTCAACAGTCTGCTTTCTCTAAACCATAGGTAAAGAAACTTGTTATTTATTCGTAAGTCTTACTAGGTTATGGCACCTTGGTTTGTGCTTGTTTTATTTTGCTTTTCTTAGATTTTCATAACCGGGCTGTAGAAATTTTGAGGGAAATAATTCCACAACCAATCGAGGCCGAAATGAAGTTACAATGCTACACTCCTATGCAAAAATCTGATTGGTTGCAAAAAACAACAAATCAGAGGTACTTTCAATTTCCCATCTGCCTTGCAGAAAAGGTAGGGGTTTGCAAAGGGAGTAGTCTCTGGTCCTTTTGTTGCTTAGGCATAGAAAGCTAGGGTTTTCCTTTCAATTTAGTTCTATTCAGAAGTCAGCATGAATAGAGGCCTTAGGTTCCCTGCCTCCAGACCCTATTCTCCTGCCTCATCTGGAAGACACTCTGGCTGTTTCTTTCAAAGCTAAACATACTCTGTTATAAGATTCAGCAATTGCAATCCAAAGTATTTACTCAAATGAATGGAAAACTTCGGTCCATACAAACAAGTGTACACAAATGTTTATAGCAGCTTTATTCATAATTGCCAAAAATCCAAAGCAACCAAGATGTGCTCCAGTAGGTGAATGGATAAACAAATTGTGGTATATCCATACCATGGGTTATTATTCAACATTAAAGAGAAATAAGCTATCAAGCTATGAACAGACATGGAGAAAACCTATATGCATACTGTTAAGTGAAAGAAGCCAGTCTGAAAAAACTATATACCATATGATTACAACTATATAACATTCTAGAAAAGGCAAAAATACAGACAGTAAATAATGGTTTCCAGGAGTTCAGGAGGAGGAAGAATGGATGAGTAGGTGGAGCCTGGGGCAATTTTAGGTCAGTGAAACTACTTCATAGGATACTCTTTTTACTGAAACACCAGGAGTTCAGTCTAGGTCTTGCACACGAGGGCTTCAGCCTGGGTCTTGCTGCTTGCCACACAGAAAGCCAATCTCTGAGATCACAATGAGTATTGCCAAAGAAGGTTTTAATCTTTAATCAGGTGCTGCAGCTTAGGAGATAGGAGACCAGCGTCAAAGCCATTTCTGTGACTGAATAAAATTAGGGGTTTATACAGCAGGGAGGAAATGTAACTATGTATGGAAAAACAGGAACCAGGGAGGGGTAAGGGAACAATCATGATGAATGAGGAACCTGGAGTCTCATTGTCTGGATGAGATGATCTGGTGAGTTCCAGTTCTTGGATTATTTTTGAGAGGCTTGGGGGATCTTTTTTTTTGGAAAGGAACTCAGATAAAACAAATACAAGTTTCAAGCTTTAAGACGATAGGCTGGGTGCAGTGGCTCATGCCTGTAATCCCAGCACTTTGGGAGGCCGAGGCGGGCAGATCACGAGGTCAGGAGATGGAGACCATCCTGGCTAACACAGTGAAACCCCGTCTCTACTAAAAATACAAAAAAAATAGCCTGGCATGGAGGCGGGCGCCTGTAGTCCCAGCTACTTGGGAGGCCAAGGCAGGAGAATGGCGTGAACCCAGGAGGCAGAGCTTGCAGTGAGCTGAGATTGCGCCACTGCACTCCAGCCTGGGCAACAGAGTGAGAAGCCATCTCAAAACAAAACAAAACAAAACAAACAGAAAAGACGATAAGTGTCCATTTCTATGTTTATTTTAAAAATTGTCTATGGGACTCTTGGGTCAGTTTCACTTTAATGGTGGACATATGACATTATGTATTTATCAGAACCCATAGAACTATATAATAAGAATTAACCCTAATTTAACTATGGACCTCAGTTAACAATAAGTACCAGTATTGGTTCATCAGTTGTAACAAGTGTACCACACTCAAATAGGATGTTAATAATAGGAGAAAATGAGCAGAGGGCTGTTTTAGGGAGGAGGGGATATGGGAACTCCCTGAAATTCCTCTGCAATTTTTGTGTACACTTAAATCTACTTTAAAAAAAGGTCTTGTTACATGAAATGATATGGATTTATTTTTGCTTTTTCATTCCATATTTTTCTACATTTGACTGCATTTTCTACTGCTCATCTACTTACTTTATATTAAAATTGTAGATATGTTACAAAACATTCATGCCTATTCTATCCATAATATTTTCAAAATTCTGCTTGGATTCTCTAAACCATAGATAGAGAAACTTGTTATTTGTTGGTAAGTCTTACAAGGTCATGCTGTCTTTATGTGTGCTTGTTTTATTTTTTATAATTATGTCGTAGACATTTTGAGGAATAGAATGGAAAGTATAGTTTTTGCAGTATGTTATTATCACCAAACATGTTACCTAATTACTTTGCTTACTTTTTCCCTTTAATTCTGATAATTCAATGTAGTAAAAATTCACATCAGTATTTCTATGAGGAATCCAAGGCTAAGGTAAGTAAGATACCAGTGAAAACATAGCTAGTAAATGATACAGCCCAGATGAAATCCAAATCTAACTCAATATTTACTTGCAGTCTATCACACTGTTATGGATAATTCATCTTTATGGTTTGTGGTAGGTTCTAATAACCGTTTTAGAAATAAGTATCATCATACTTTTACAGATAAATGAGCAATAGCTCACTGTGTTTCTAATATTCTCTTCTCATCTTAATGCTGTATCCTGCCCCTGTTCCCATTACTCAGTTTTTCTACTTAAATATACATGTCCAAATATATGATGGTTTCAGTAACAAGTCAGACTGTTTTCCTGGTAATAAAACAGGCATCCAAGGCTTTTCCTTTTCCTTTTCTTTTCTTTCTTTCTTTATTTTTTTCAGACAGTGTCTTGCTCTGTCACCAGACTGGAGTGCAGTGGTGCGATCTCGGCTCACGGCAATCCTCCTCCTGGGTTCAAGTGATTCTCTTGCCTCAGCCTCCCGACTAGCTGAAACTAAAGGCACACACCACCATGCCCAGCTAATTTTTGTATGTTTAGTTGAGACGGGTTTTCACCATGTTGGCCAGTATGGTCTCTATCTCTTGACCTTGTGATCTGCCCACCTCAGCCTCTCGAAGTGCTGGGATTACAGACTTATGGTTGGTAAAAATTGACCTGGCCAGGCTCGGTGGCTCACGTCTGTATTCGTAGCAGTGAGCCAAGATCAAGCCACTGCACTCCAGCCTGATGACAGAGCGAGACACTGTCTGAAAAAAAAGAAAGAAAGGGAAAAAAAATAAAGGAAAAAAAGAACAGGCAATGTCAATCTTCAGTGTCTGATCTCATTCCTCACTAAGTCTGGAGTGAGCAATGATGATATGTAAATCTTGTCATATTTGTGGGTCCTCTTCTCATTCTACTCCCCAGTCTACCCCCTATTTCTCCTCTCCGTCTCACCCATTCTCAGAGGCCAAACCCTGGGGTTTCAGATTCACTCTACTGAAGATACAGATATGTTGTTGACTTGTAGACTCAAGAACCAAAAACCTATTCTGAACCCATTGCCCAGTAGATGTCTCCCAACAGAAATAACCATGCTTTATGGTTTTCCTACTGAAGACTAGACGACAGCAATAGAATTGCCTGCACATGCTCAGAAAGAAACCAAGCCCAGTGAGCCTGGATATTTCTGATTAATTCTGTTACTAAAAAGTGCACGAATCCCCCATTCTTGTCTCACTTAGAAGAAAAATATCAGCCAAGGATGCATAGGAAGGGTTGAGTAGCAGAGTTTGTTGAAGGAAGATAAAGTACATTCCTAGAGAGAAGTAGAAAACCGTTCTGGGCTGTTCCAACTGGAAAAATAGTGGTAGCAGTGTTTATTTAGAGACAGTATGCTCTGAAAGAGGAGACAGACTGGGGTGTTCAAAAGAAGGAGCCAGCAGCAGCCAGTGCTGAAGGACTCTCTTTATGAGAATCTTACATGACTATTCAGGAAAGGGCCTGAGGGGGTGTCTCTTGCAAGCATGTTTCAGGAGGACCGTTTGGGTGCGCATGCTCTGTCTTGTACTTGCTACTACACATGTTGCATGTCTCAGTATTTAAAATCTCCACCCAGAGCTGTGTTTTTCACTACCATAATGAGCAAAAAGCTATTCTAGGGCAAGTTATTGGAGGAGTGCACAATTTCGTCAGTGGAGGAAGTCCCTGCCATGGCTGTTTCTGGCTAGGACCTGATACGTCCCCTCCAGGGCCGGAGGAGCCCAACCACAAGGCCAGATGTAGCCATTGTAGCCATTGTCCTTTTTGCTATTAGTGCGCAGTGCTGATTATTAGTGGGCAGTGACTCCAAGACTTCTTTTCCCAGGGGCTCCCTTGCCTGCTCATTTCTGGCTCTCTGCCTACTCTAACAATTCCAGAGCTTATATGATACAGTCGACATTCAGACTATTCAGGATGCAGGGATCACATAAATCCTCTAGCTCCCCTCACTGCAAATCGGAAAATTCACCCAAGAACCATCAGAATAGTATAGTATATTCAGAAAAATCACTATTTGAAGAAACTTGAAGCAGTAAGTACATGGAAAATGTCCCCACAGAATGTTTAGAAAATTCCATAGTACAGAAAGAATCCTATGCAGTATATTCCAGAAGCATTGCATAGTGATAATAAAAGGATTGGAACAAGTTTTCAAAGTGCTCCCTTTAACCCTATTTCAGTATGCTATTGATAAAGAATTACTTTTCTTTGCCACCTGTAATAGTCTGTTTTTACATTGCCATAAGAAAATACATGAGACTGGGAAATTTATAAAGGAAAAAAGGTTTAATTGACTCACAGTTCTGCGTGGCTGGGAAGGCCTCAGGAAACTTACAATCATGGCAGAAGGGGAAGAGGCCCATCTTACATGGCAGTAGGCGAGAGAGTATGGACCCCATAGGAGGAACTGTCAAACACATAAAACCATCACATCTCATGAGAACTCACTCACTATTACAAAACAGCATGGGGGAAACCGCACCCATGATCCAGTAATCTCCCACCAGGTCCCACCCTGGACATGTGGAGATTATGGGGATTATAATTCCAGATGAGATTTGGGTGGGGAAACAGAGCCAGCCTAACCATATAACTGATAAGGGATCACTGGGTTTCACTTTTCTTGCCAGAATCTTGGGGCTGGTAATGCCTTTGCCTGAGTCTTGCTCAGGCTAGCTGGGCTCATTCCACCCACTTTGGCTGGCAGGCTCTGCTCTGCTCACACTACCAGCCTGGATCCCACACCTGCCAAGTGTGATTCACATAGTGAGGGATGTGTGAGCAAGTGAGCAGGGGTCCAGCCACTGTGCACAGCCAGGCATATTGGCTGTATAGGGCAGGCAGCTCTGGGAGACGGCATGGGTGCCAGCTCCCTGTGAGGCTGCAGCTGGAACCAGGCGCACTGCAAGCAACTTCCACAGCCGGCACTGGGGAAAGTGGTGGCACCTGGAAGCTTGGAGACCCCGGGAACCACAGGCCCCAAAAAGGTGGTCAAATCCCTGGCTCTGAGCTCCAAGATTTGGGCTCTCTGAAGAGACACGTCTTGCCCACGACATGGCAAGCAAGGGGCATTTTCAGCCCTCTTTGTGTTTGAGGTTTCTGCCTTACCATTTGGCAGATCCATGGTTCTTGTCCTGTGTCCAGGAAGAATGAGGTATGCAGACAAGTGGAGGATGAGCAGGATAAAGAGGAGCTTTATTAAGCAATAGGACAGCTCAGAGACCCTCAGTGGGCAGCTCCTCTCCATAGCCAGGTTGTCCAGACACCTGTTCAGCTCTCAGCAGAAAGGGTAGCTTCTCTCTGCAGCTGATCATCCTGTCCTTTCCTTAGTTCTCAGCAGACAGGAGACACTGGTGAGGGCAGCTCCACTCTACCGCTGAGAGGAGACCCTGGGGAGGGCAACTCCTCTCTGCAGCAGGTCATCCCTAATCTCCCTGTCCTCTCTCTCCGCTCTCTCCATCTTCTGCTCACGTCTGCCTGAGCCCAGGGCTTTTACGGGCCTCAGAGGGGAGGAAGTGCACATCATGGACGGCTATGGGGCAGGCCCAGATAAGGCACAAGTTCCCACTCCTGTCAGCAGGACTGGCAGCCCAGCCCACAGCCTTCAGGCCCTCCCTGGCGCCCAGGCTGCTCATGGCAAGGGGCACCTGTAGGCCAGTGCCAGTTACCCTCAACCCATCTCCCCTCAGATTCCCCATGGCTGAGATGGCAGGAGGCTGGTGTGTCAATGTTGCCCTGAGCATGCACACACCCTGCCAGGCTGTGACAGTACCGGGGCTTAGCCCCAACTCCACTCTTACATCAGAGTGCATGCCTGGGAGACCAGAGAGGCCAGGCAGTGGGAGTAGACACCCCCAAGCCTGCAGGGACGGGGCGCCTTCTCAGCCTTGAGTGCACAGAGTGCAGAGAGGCCTGGATCCTGCTGTGGGGAGGGTGGGGCTTTCACCCACTCCGTGGAGCCTACAGGTAGCCCCTGTCACACCTTTTCACAGTGTGGGGTGGGCAGCTCCCCTTGCTGGGCTTAGTTGGGCATCTGGGGCAAGGGTAATGTCTTTGCAAGTTCTTCCTATAGCACTCAGGGGTGCCTGGGGCTCCCCCTTGCCTGTATGGAGCAGGGGAGGCCTGGGTGGGTGTCATCATGAACCTTAGCTGGCTTTCTTAGATTACCATCCTCACAATTAGTTTCTTTATTTTTTCACAATTTCTTTTCTTTTCTTTTCTTTTCTTTTCTTTTCTTTTCTTTCCTTTCCTTTCCTTTCCCTTCCTTCCTTCCTTCCTTCCTTCCTTCCTTCCTTCCTTCCTTCCTTCCTTCCTTCCTTTCTTTCTTTCTTTCTTTCTTTCTTTCTTTCTTTCTTTCTTTCTTTCCTTCCTTCCTTCCTTCCTTCTTTTTTTTTTGACAGGCTCTCCCTCTGTTTCCCAGGCTGGAATGCAGTGGCATGATCTTGGGTCACTGCAGCCTGGACCTTCCAGGTTCAAGCAATCCTCCCACCTCCTGAGTAGCTGGGACCAAATTAGTTTCTAAGTAAATTATCATTTTCTGTTGACCAAATTAAATTGATGTTCTGGTTGCAATTGCACAACTTCCAATAGTATTGAATTATTATTGGGACGTTCCTTTGGAAATTGATAAAGATAAACTGGTCAGTTCCTTTGGAAACTGATAAAGACAGCATGACAGTTCCAACAAACTGGAGACATGTAATTACCCAAAAATCTTAGGGGCCTAGCTTTACGTATGTACAAGCCCATACTACCAAGTACCAGAAGAGTCTATAACCAAAAATTGCTATGTCTATTAACAAGTCTTTCTTACCAAAATACACTAATTTGTATTGTACTGGGCTGAGTGTACTGGTATCATATGGATTATTTTTTAATAATCCTTTAGTTTATTCTCAAATCCAGGGACAATAGTGATTTTACCCAAGAGATTTTGAACTTTGTATATTAATAGAAGTGTGTTTTTCCAAAGTAAATGAGGCATTTTTTTCTTCTATTTTATGATGATCAAATTTACTACTCTATGATGAGAAATCTAAAGTAGTAAGAAATCTAAAGTAGGACATAGTTTATTCTCAAATCCAGGGAAAATAGTGATTTTACCCAAGAGATTTTGAACTTTGTATATTAATAGAAGTGTGTTTTTCCAAAGTAAATGAGGCATTTTTTTCTTCTACTTTATGATGATCAAATTTACTACTTTATGATGAGAAATCTAAATAATAATTCTGAGCAATAGTTTCTATTTGGGAATTTTGAGGTCACTGTTACCTTTAATAAGGAGACTTTTCAGAAGCTATGGGTGTCATCACATAAGATAAATGCAAATGTTGCCATTTCAAGAGGAGGGTAAGGATGATGATGAGAGGAATCCTTTTAAAGAAATAGAATTGCTACACAGTATCTTCCTCCAATTGTATAATGCTGCCGTTCATTAAAAGAAGTAGTCTTATTGCTATGCACATCCATAAATTAAAGGGATGCAAATAATTTTAATACAAGGGACATTGTTCTCAGAAATAGAATGTGAAGGAGTATGATATAGTGGCTGAGCTTGAGGGGGAAATGTAGGGGTTCAGTCAGGACAGTGTGAAAAATTGTAAAATAAACACAAACCTTCTTGGAAACCCGGAAGGTTTTTGCAAAAGCCTCAGGTTAGAGTTACAGCTGAAGGCAGCCTAATCCTTTTTGAGCTATAGCAAGGGTAATTAACATAGTAATATAGGGGAGTCTATCTAAATAGCTTGTTTACTTATGTGGCCCTAAGACTAACCTTTGACCATCCAAGGTTGCATGATTGCTCTCTACTTGGGGTCAGCAACTGTAATTACCTAGCAGTGGTGTTTACTTTAGACTATTGTCATTTAATGTGTGCTGAATAAATGCCTGGAGGGCCAGTGAGTTGGGGCCACGGTTGCAACTCTTCACAGCACTCTCCTGGGAGTCTGTAAGCGGCCCGGACTCTCAGCCAGACTGACAAGCATAATATCTATGTCAGTGTACATTATTCACCCATTGTTGGGTCAGGGTCTGTGGGACAGACCCCTGCAGGTATATAATTTGGTTCAACCTATAGTGTACCATTTACTAGCTTTATATCTTTGCAAAAGTTGTTTTATCTCCATCATTTTACTCTTTCCACCTGTAAGCATGAAAAGGGTGTTTATTTTACTGAGCTGATGTGGGAATTAAAAAAAATATGAAGTATAGAAATCCCTTAGTACAATTCTGAGAACAAAGTAAAATGCTCATTTTCATTGTAGCATTTAAATGCAGAAATTTATATGTATAGTTGCACTTTGAGGTCCATTCTGAATCTTAGATGTCACATTTATATTAATATAAGGGATAATAATTATCTAAATGTAGAATTATATGTTTAAAATTACATGATTACATCAACTGATGTAATTCATAGTTTTTCCCTAGGGCTCTCTTTCCTGAACATTCTGTAACGTATTAGTTAGCACAGTCTTCTTATATCTTCCCTTATGATAAAACAAAAGAGCATAATAGTAACGGGCCATAGCCTCAATCAAATGAGAAAATCACAGTGGGAACCAGGAATGAGGGATTGAACACTCTTCACATAAAATATTAATTATTTTAAAACAGAGTTGTTCTGTCAACAGCTGACTTTGAGTCCTTGATCGATCTCTCGAACCCCTAAATTCTTTGATTGCACAGTTGACCTTGTCACATTGTTAGAGTAAGTGCTATACAAAGGCACCTTCAGAACCTCCATTGCACATAGGTGGCCCCTGCAAGCCCCTTGCCTGTGTATGTTCTGGAGCTGCCATTAAACTTGGGGGCAGCATCAGGAGACACGCTTGAAAAAACTTTTTTTTTTTTTTCCATGATGGAGTCTCGCTCTGTTGCCCAGGCTAGAGTGCGGTGGTGTGATCTTGGCTCACTGCAATCTCCACCTCCCAGATTCAAGTGATTCCCCTGCCTCAGCCTCCCGAGTAGCTGGGACTACAGGTGCCTGCCACCATGCCAGGCTAATTTTTTGTATTTTTAGTAGAGGTGGGGTTTTACTGTGTTAGCCAGGAAGGTCTCAATATCCTGACCTTGTGATCCGCTCGCCTTGTCCTCCCAAAGTGCTTTGATTACAGGCATGAGCCACCTCACCCTGCTGAAAAATGTTTTTACTCAGATTAAATTATTCACAAACTTTCAGTTTACTTTAACTTTATTGAAGGCATCCCTACCTGTAAATAGGTAGAGATTAAACTCTCTAGTCAACAGCTGTCATTCTGTCATATCATCAGATACCCGGGGCTGCTGCTCCTTGAGGCGTCCAGAGAATCACAGCATTTTCCAGTATTGAAAGACCTGAAAGAACATAGTGTCTTTATTTCAACTGTGAGACATGAAATAATTTTCTGAAATCTACAACATTAAGATATGGTACAATAAGGATCAGATTAAAGTCTCCAAATTTGCAACCATGTTCCCTCCATCTCCTTTATTCCTAAACACACTCACACACTCACTCCTGCAAACAGTTGTCTTGTCAAGTGAGAAATGAATGCTCTTACAAGGCTCAAACTTGTGAACACATCACTGACCAGCACAGAGCCGGCTAACAATAGGGGCTCAATTAAAGTGTCTTACTTGTAAGTGGATCAAACCAATGAAGTATTAAATTAAAACAATCCTTAGGAAGAGCTCCGGTCTGTAGCTCCCAGCAAGATTGACGCAGAAGTTGGGTGATTTCTGCATTTCCAACTGTGGTAACTGGTTCATCTCACTGGGACTGGTTGGACATTGGGTGCAGCCCATGGAGGGCGAGCTGAAGCAGGGCGGGGCATCGCCTTAACCAGGAAGCGCAAGGGCTCGGGGGATTTCTCTTTCCTAGCCAAGGGAAGCCATGACAGAAGACGTGTACTGTACCTGGAGAAATGGTACACTCCTGACCAAATACTGTGCTTTCCCCATGGTCTTAGCAACCAGCAGACAAGGAGATACCCTCCTTTGTCTGACTCGGTGGGTCCCATGCCAATGGAGCCTTGTTCACTGCTAGTGCAGAAGTCTGAGATCAACCTGTGATGCTGCAGCTTGACAGGGCACGGCGGGGGGCGGGGGGGGGGCAGAGGGAGGGACATCCACCATTGCTGAAGCTTGAGTAGCTTACAGTAAGCAAAGCGGCCAAGAAGCACAAACTGGGCAGAACCCACTGCAGCTCAGCAAGGCCTACTGCCTCTACAGATTCCACCTCTGGGGGCAGGGCATAGCTGAACAATAGGCAGCAGGCAGCTTCTACAAACTTAAACGTCCCTGTCTGACAGCTCTGAAGAGAGCAGTGGTTCTCTCAGCATGGCGTTCCAGCTCCAAGAACGGACAGATTGCCTCCTCAAGCAGGTCCCTAACCCCCATGTAGCCTGTCTGGGAAACACCTCCCAGTAGGGGTCAACAGACACCTCAAACAGGTGGGTGCCCCTCTGGGACAAAGCTTCCAGAGGAAGGATCAGGCAGCAATATTTGCTGTTCTGCAGCCTCCGCTGGTGATACCCAGGCAAACAGGATCTGGAGTGGACCTCCAGCAAATGCCAACAGACCTGCAGCTGAGGGTTCTTTCTGTTAGAAGGAAAACTAACAAACAGAAAGGAATAGCATCAACATCTACAAAAGGGACATCCACACCAAAACCCATCTGTAGGTCACCAACATCAAGGACCAAAGGTAGATAAAACTACAAAAATGGGGAGAAACCAGAACAGAAAAGCTGAAAATTCCAAAAAACAGAGCACCTCTTCTCCTTCAAAGGATCAGAGCTCCTTGCCAGCAAGGGAACAAAACTGGATGGAGAATGAGTTTGACGAGTAAACAGAAGTAGGCTTCAAAAGGTTGGTAATAACAAACTTCTCCGAGCTAAAGGAGCATGTTCTAACCCATCACAAGGAAGCTAAAAACCTTGAAAAAAGGTTAGATGCATGGCTAACTGAATAAACAGTGTAGAGAAGACCTTAAATGACCTGATGGAGCTGAAAACTACGGCACAAGAACTTCGTAATGCATGCGCAAGCTTCAACAGCCGATTCAATCAAGTGGAAGAAAGGATATCAGTGATTGAAGATCAAATTAATGAAATAAAGCAAGAAGACAAGATTAGAGAAAAAAAGAGCAAAAACAAATGAACAAAGCCTCCAAGAAATATGGGACTATGTGAAAAGACTAAATATATGTTTGATTGGTATACCGGAAAGTGATTGGGAGAATGGAACCAAGATAGAAAACACTGTTCAGAATATTATTCAGGAGAACTTCCCTAACCTAGAAAGGCAAGCCAACATTCAAATTCAGGAAATACAGAGAACACCACAAAGATACTCCTCAAGAAGAGCAACCCCAAGATGCATAATTGTCAGATTCACCAAGGTTGAAATGAAGGAAAAAATGTTAAGAGCAGCAAGACAGAAAGCTCGGGTTACCCACAAAGGGAACCCCATCAGACTAACAGCAGATCTCTTGGCAGAAACCCTACAAGCCAGAAGAGAGTGGGGGCCAATATTCAACATTCTTAAAGAAAAGAATTTTCAACCCAGAATCTCATATCCAGCCAAACTAAGCTTCATAAGTGAAGGAAGAATCAATATCTTGAAAATGGCCATACTTCCCAAGGTAATTTATAGATTCAATGCCATCCCCATCAAGTACCAATGACTTTATTCATAGAATTGGAAAAAACTACTTTAAAGTTCATATGGAACAAAAAAGAGCCTGCATAGCCAAGACAATTCTAAGCAAAAAGAACAAAGCTGGAGGTATCACGCTACCTGACTTCAAACTATACTACAAGGCTACAGTAACCAGAAGAGCATAGTACTGGTACCAAAACAGAGATATAAACCAATGGAACAGAACAGAGTCCTCAGAAATAACACCACACATCTATGACCATCTGATCTTTGACAAATGTGACAAAAACAAGAAATGGGGAAAGGATTCCCTATTTAATAAATGGTGCTTGGAAAACTGGCTAGCCATATGTAGAAAGCTGAAACGATCTGTTCCTTACACCGTATACAAAAATTAACTCAAGATGGATTAAAGACTTAAATGTAAGACCTAGCACCATAAAAACACTAGAAGAAAACCTAGGCAATACCATTCAGGACATAGGCATGGGCAAGGACTTCATGACTAAAACACCAAAAGCAATGGCAATAAAAGCCAAAATAGACAAATAGAATCTAATTAAACTAAAGAGCCTCTGCACAGCAAAAGAAACTATCATGAGAGTGAACAGGCAACCTACAGAATGGGAGAAAATTTTTGTAATCTACCCACCTGGCAAAGGGCTAATATCCAGAATCTATGAAGAACTTAAACAAATTTACAAGAAAAAAAAACAAACAACCCCATCAAAAAGTGGGCAAAGGATATGAACAGACGCTTCCCAAAAGAAGACATTTATGCAGCCAATAGACACATGAAAAAATGCTCATTATCACTGGTCATCAGAGAAATGCATGTCAAAACCACAATGAGATACCATCTCATGCCAGTTAGAATGGCGATCATTAAAAAGTCAGGAAACAACAGCTGCTGCAGCGGATGTGGAGAAATAGGAGCGCTTTCACACTGTTGGTGAGAGTGTAAATTAGTTCAACGATTGTGGAAGACAGTGTTGTGATTCCTCAATGTTCTAGAACTAGAAATATCATTTGACCCAGCGATCCCATTACTGGGTGTATACCCAAGGAGTATAAATCATGCTGCTATAAAGACACATGCACACGTATGTTTATTGCAGCACTATTCACAATAGCAAAGACTTGGAACCAACCCAAATGCCCATCTATGATAAACTGGATTTAGAAAATGTGGCACATATACACCATGGAATACTATGCAGCCATAAAAAAGGATGAGTTCATGTTCTTTGCAGGGACATGTATGAAGCTGGAAACCATCATTCTAAGCAAACTATCACAAGGACAGAAAACCAAACAACAAGAACACATGGGCACAGGGTGGGGAACATCACACACCGTGGCCTATTGTTGAGGGGGTGGGATGCTGGGGAAGGGAAAGCATTAGGAGAAATACTTAATGTAAATGATGAGTTGATGGGTACAGCAAACCTACATGGCACATGTATACCTATGTGACAAACCTGCACGTTGTACACATGTACCCTAGAACTTAAAGTATAATAAAAAAAATAATTCGTAAAAAAAATTCTTTAAAGAAGTAAATTCTGTTTCAGAAAAGGACCTTCATACAGCATCTCTGACCAGCAACTGATGATGCTGTTGAACTCAGACGCTGATTCATTCTCCAACACTAGATTACCCAATCCAGGAGCAAGGAAATCAATAACTTCCTCCCTATAATTTGGAATATGGGTGGAGCAGGGTCATAGTTCTCGCTGAGTGAGACTTGACTGCCCCTCTGGGCCCTGGACCTGTCATGTTCCTTAGCATGGTGTGTCTGAAGCCCCCTGGAGGCTCCTGCATGGCAGCTCTGACAGTGACACTGATGGTGCTGAGCTCCCCACTGGCTTTGGCTGGGGACACCCGACGCAAGTGCACATTGTGGGTGCTGAGCTACTACGAGGTCAGGAAAATAGGGAGTTTTGTTAACACCGTGCCCAGGCAATGTCCCTTAAGAGATTGTGACGTTTTCTTCAGAGATTGCCTATCTTTATCACGGGATCCTAAGTTATTTCCACCACAAAAGGAGCTTGGTACTTGCCCTCTCCATGAGGTTTGTGTAAGGAACTTCCATACAGGCCATTTCTTTTCAAATCTCCACCAATAAAACCTTTGCATCACATTTCCTCAGGGTCTTTAGAGGATTTAGAAATAAGGATGCTAAAATAAATTCCCCATACAGCACTTCCCTTTATCATGTTGACTTATGCCAGACAAAACGAGGATTTTCTGAAAACTTTGTGGGAGTCAAGGGAATTCAAAAGGTCTCTCCTAGATGATCCTGTGTTATGTCCTCCAAAGGACCTGTGGTGTTGGCCCTTCTTCCTCATATGTGAGGATGTACCCAGTGACCTCCCCATTATCTCCTTTCTTTTCTTTCTGAACTCCAATGTTTATAAAGCCTGTATCCCTGTACATGTATGTAGATTCTCTGACAGAAGTTATACTAAGTGCTCTTTCTTTCTTAGGGGGAAAAAATCCTTGGAGCGGAAGCTGAGATCTTTAGTACTTAGATCAGATAAAGAGTATTTATGAGGTATTCTTCGGTACCTAAAGAACTTAAGGCATCTGGCCAGGCATGGTGGTTCACGCCTGTAATCCCAGCACTTTGAGACATGGAGGTGGGCGGATCACAAGGTCAGGAGTTTGAGATCCGTCTGACCAATATGGTGAAACGTCATCTCTACTAAAAATACAAAAATTAGCCGGGGTAGTGGCGCACACCTGTAATCCCAGCTACTCTGGAGGCTGAGGCAGGAGAATCACTTAAACCCAGGAGGCGGAAGTTGCAGTGAGCCAAGATCATGCCACTGCACTCCAGCCTGGGCGAGAGGGTGAGACTCCCTCTCAAAAAAAAAAAAAAAAAAAAAAAAAACTTAAGTCACTAGTGTTTATTTTGAATCCTTTTTAACTGTTCTATACTAGTTTCTCCTACAACTCCTACATGTTCTAACTAGACATGACAAGAAGAGATTCAACTAACATAGGATAAATTATATAAAATTCTATTTTTGTACGTCAAAAATAGTAAAATATCTGAAATTTAATAATGTTCAAACTATATACTCTGTGTGGGGTTGCAGAGACGATGTGGACATTGTCCACATCTCATAGGGCTGAAAGTCAATGAGCAACTCCTGGGAACTCATTGTCTTACTGTGGTCTTTTCCTAAATTTCATAGTTTCATTCATCATGCCCTCAGCTTTCCTTAATTAGCCATGTTCACTTGCCTCTTCCTCCAGTTTCTCTCTATTTTTCTTCAGCTATGTTGTCATCATTTCCAGAAATCCCTAAAGTTTGCACAGAGCCAGGGCACTATGAGATCCATTAAATGAGATTTTTTTTTTTGAAGACAGGGCCTGGCTCTGTTACCCAGGCTATAGTGCAGTGGTGCCATCTAGGCTCACTGCAACCTCCACCTCCAAGGCTCAAGGGTTCCTCCTCTTCAGCCTCCAGAGTAGCAGAGACTTCAACAGGCAACCATGCCCAGATAATTTTTGTAATTTTGGTAGAGATGAGGTTTTGCCATGTTGCTATGGCTGGTCTTAAACTCTTGGACTCAAGCAATCCTCCTGTTTTGGTCTCCAAACGTGCAAGGATTATAGGTGTGAGCCACTCCACCCAGGCAAAAAGAGATGAATCTTAATAAAAAAATTTCTTTTTGCTTAAATCACTGTTTCTTTATCTGTGAATTCTTCTTCCACCTAGAAGGAGGAGAAAGAAGAAGTTTGCCTGTATTTCACACTGGGAAGAGAAGGGGTGTAGTATGACATCAAAATGAAAGAGTGCTTGAGCTTGAGCCCCTTCTTGCTTTCCAGGATCCCTGCAGTGATCAGTTCCCAGAACCCTGGTTTATTCATGTAAAGCACACTTATTTTTCTCAGCAGCTACTGTGTACTGGGCTCTATTCTAGGTTCAAATCATTCTATTTGATTAAGATAGAGAGGGTCGCTACTCTCATGGAAGTTACACAAGAGTAGAGGAGATAAAAAATAACCCAATAATCATTTATCAAAAAAGAAAATTTCAGATAGTAATAGTGCACTAAAGAAAAGACATCAGGTTTGTGGAAAAGAGAGAAATGGATTCACCAAACTTTAGTTCATGTGTTTAGGCAGCTCTACCTGAGAAAGTGACATTCAGATGAGACAACAAAATAAGTAGACAGTCATGTGACAATCTAAGGAACGAAAGTTCCAGGGAGACAGCATGGGGGGAAGCCCTGGTGTGAGAAATTATGTCCAGGGACAGAAAGAAGGCTAGAGGGTCTGATGTATAGCAAGCAAGGAAATGGAAGGGCAGAAGACGAGGTAGAACACAAAGAGGTAGTCAGAAGCCTCATCATATTAGGCTCTGATGTCCATGGTAAGAAATTTGAATTTTATTTTATTTTATTATTTATTTATTTATTTTGAGACGGAGATTCATTCTTGTTGTGTGGTCTCAGCTCACTGCAACCTCCGCCTTCTCGGTTCAAGTGATTCTCCAGCCTCAGCCTCCAAAGTAGCTGAGATTATAGGTGCCCACCCACCATGCCTGGCTAATTTTTTTGTATTTTCAGTAGAGATGAGGTTTCACCATATTGTCCAGGCTGGTCTTGAACTCCTGACCTCAGGTGATCTGCCTGTCTTGGCCTCTCAAACTGTTGGGATTACAGGCGTGAGCCACCGCGCCTGGCCTGAATTTTATGTGAATAGATATGGGAAGCTACTGGATGGTTACAAGGAGAGTCCATTTATATTCAGTTTTTAAAACTAATTCTAGTTACTCTGTGGGGATTGGATTGTTGGGGTTCACAAATGGTCAGGAAGACTTTAGGAGCAGAGCAGGGAATCCTCAGCGAAAACAGGCTTGCGGCTTCATGCAGTGCATTAGTGATAAAGACAGTGAAAAAGATAAAGTGGACAGACTCGGCATGTATTTTGCTTCACTTGTTAATGGATTATTGTAAAGGCAGTAGAAAATCAAGCTTATTCCTAAGGATTTTGTTTTGACAAATAAGTGGATTGTGGTGTTGTTTACTGAGATAGGAAAAACTGTGGGAGGAAATGATTTGAAGTGGGTGGAAATAAAAAATAAATATTTTGGAAATATTTATTGGAATAAAAGTTGGAAATAAAAGTTTTGTTTAAGTTTGAGATGATTTATTGATACTTATGTGGAGCAATCAGAAGATCAATGGCATTTAAGAGACTCATGGTGAGGCCAGGGCTGGAGGTATTTATGTTGGCGGCATCAATACGTGTACTGTGTTAAATTCCAGGGAGTGGAAGAGGTGACAGCGAGATAGATTGTGTGGAGAAAAAAGAGGGCACAGGCCAGCAAAGGACTGAAAAAGAGCCCAGGGATGTTGGAGAAAAACCAAGAGAACATAATGCATGTCAGTCAAGGAAAATAGATTTTTTTCAAGGAGACAGGAGAGGTCAATTGTGGTGAGTGCCACTAAGAGGAGAGTGAAGTGAGAATGTAAAACAGAAGCAAATGCTGGGTTTGGTGGAGTTGATATTTGCAGTCAGTGGAATATCCAGGATGAAAACTGGATTGGATCCTTTGAAGAGCGAGTAGGAGTGAGGATGAGGTTAAGGTTGACTGTTTTGAGTAGTGAGCTTCAGGGAAGGACTGTGTTCTGGGTTCAGGGATCCAGCTGGATCTAAAGGAAAATGCTAAAGAGGCTGAAGAAAAGCAGGAGGACCTGTGATGCTCAGTCATTAGTGGCAAGGAAATACTAGAGGGTCCCTGTGTGCAGTGGTGACTGCTCATGCAAAAGGTCACACAGCCAATATTTCACACAGCCCATATTTATTAGTGACTTTGAATACACTAGCTATTACTCTAGGTCATGAGAATGAAGTGATGAATAAAATGAATCTGGTCTCCATCAGTGTATGCCATGTAACATTTTGCAGTGACTGTGTACCAGGCCTATGATTTTCAGTATGCAATTTCAATAATGATCCTGTTGTATCTGTGGTATTTAAAAACATATGCATCTCTGGAATCTAAAATTGAGAGGATATAAGTAAAACCCAGTGTTACAAATTTAGTGCTGGAAATCAGATTGCAGTTTAAATCTGAGCATGTAGAAAGTCCCTTTTTTCTATGTCAGCAGATGCCTTTTGTGTGAGGTTTGTTTAGGTATACTGCATTATTAGACATAAACCAGTGATTCTGCCCTATATTGTCAGAATGACAATTCTTTATGAAACTAATAGAAGAACAGAAGACAATTGCAAAATCATGATGAATATACTAATTGCTTTAGAATCAAGGAATAGAAAAAGTAATGTGAGCTGCAGTTACAGGATCATAAAAATTAAAATGGGGATATATTTGAGTGTTTATTATGTGATCAGTGCTAAGAAGAGTCATTATCTAATTTTACACTTAACAATAATCCTGCGAGGATTATACTATTATTAAATGCATTTGATACATTACAAAAAGGCTTACGGTTGGTAAAAATTGGCCCAAGTAGAAGAGGTCATGTTTCCATTCGGATTTTCTGATTCTACAGTTTGAGAGTCTGTCCATCATTAGTGAATAGCGACTAGATTGTGCCTGAATTATTGACAAAATTTCTGATATTCATATGAACCAGGTTGTTTCTTAGAGTAGGGGCAGAGATTCAAGGGCTGCTAGTTTCAATGTATAGGAAAACCTTTCTTTTTCTTTTTCTTTTTTTTTTTTTTTTGAGATGGAGTCTTTCTCTGTCACCTGAGCTGGAGTGCAGCGGCGCGATCTTGGCTTACTACAAGCTCTGCCTCCCAGGTTGATGCCATTCTCCTGCCTCAGCCTCCCCAGCAGCTGGGACTACAGGTGCACACCGCCATGCCCGGCTAATTTTTTTGTATTTTTAGTAGAGACGGGGGTTTCATTGTGTTAGCCAGGATGGTCTCCATCTCCTGACCTCGTGATCCACCCGCCTCGGCCTCCCAAAGTGCTGGGATTATAGGCGTGAGCCACTGCACCTGGCCTGTATAGGAGAAACTTTCGCTCATTTTGCATTTATCATTGTAAAACTTTTATATGTCTATCATGGGCATGTGTTGAAGAAGACAAGAAGTATTAAATCACTCCTTCTGAGGTTTGACTAGCAAGTTGGCCTGGGGTTGCCAAATAAAATACAGGTTCCTAGTTAAATCCGAATTTCAGATACACAACCATAATTTATTGGAAATTCAAATTTAACTGGGCATCCTCTGATTTTCTTTGCCAAATCTGTCAACCCTAAGTGGGACACTTAAGCATGGATTACAGTGCTAACCATGCAAGCCACAGTGACAGCAACTTCACACATGTTTATTTTTTAACTTTCTCTCTGTAAAGAAAGTGCTTAGTTAATTTAGGAATAAAAAGATAGACATTGTTTGATCCAGGGTGCACTCCTCTCTGCCATCATTTCTAAAGGGCAAAGGGTGTTTTGTGAAGGTCTCTACTCAACGTCTGGGGACCTGCTCATTTTTTGCAAACTGTCTGTATGAGAATGTCATTTTCTTGGTTTCTCCCTTTCTGAGGAGAATTGACTACAAAACCGAGAGTTCTACCTCTGGCCAAGGCTGGTAATTTAATGCCTGCTGGTATTGTTGGGAGTGGGAGACTGAAAGACATGAGTTAGTTGGCACGTTAAATGGAAATAAAACAGCTGTGGCTGTGATTCATTACTACAGGTAATTAGTGGACCAGTGGCAGAGAAATTAAGAAAGAAGATGATATGAAAGATAAATAACATGATTTGGTGACTGATTGGTAAGGCAAGGAAATCAGTAAATCTTGGTTCTGAACAAGTTCATTTTCTGGAAAGATAGCACTGTATTGGGCCCAGAATTCTACAAAACATTTATTTTATGTAGGACCAAGATGTTCAACAGATATTTTTCAATGTAATTCTCAGCTGCTCCATAACTAATAGTGGCTTGTTCAACACAGATTTCCCTGTGGTGTTTACCTACGCCTTCCCTCCCATCACCTTTGGGGAACGTGTGGCAATGTTTATAACAATTTTTGATTGTCACAACAGGGTTTTCTTCGGATATTTAATGAGTAGGAGCCAGGGACACCGCTAGAGAACCTACAATGTACAGAACGGCCTCTGTCACCAACAAAGAATTATCTGGGCTGGGTGTGGTGGCTCATGCCTGTAATCCCAGCACTTTGAGAGGCCGAGGTGGGCAGATCACAAAGTCAGGAGATCGAGACCATCCTGGCTAACATGGTGACTCCCTGTCTCTACGAAAAATACAAAAAATTAGCCGGGCGTGGTGGCGGGCACCTGTAGTCCCAGCTACTCGGGAGGCTGAGGCAGGAGAATGGCGTGAACCCGGAGGCGGAGCTTGCAGTGAGCCAAGATGGCACCACTGCACTCCAGCCTGGGCAACAGGGCGAGACTCTGTCTGAAAAAAAAAAAAAAAAAAAAAAAAAGAATTACCTAGTCCAAAATGTTAATAGTGCTGAGGCTGAGAGCACCAGTTCACACTGTTCTCTTTCTGAAAATTCTACACTCAGATCTTTTATACACTCACCATCCACTTCAGCTCTTTATGGTTTATTTTTGCTTGTTTTATTGTAAAAAACTTGACAGTTGCATAAATTCAACAACCTTTGTTGTTGAATCCATTTAGTCAATGCAAGTTCAATACCTTCATATTTATTTTTTGCCTTATGCAATATTTTTCAACATTTTCATGAGTCATCACTATTTCTATTAACTTTCAACAGCCTGTCTGTATAAGTCACAAATAGTGATGCTGCTGCAATTGTTTTTCAGTAACATACCTCAGATTTCTGTAGTAATTCTACATTTGATATTATTCACAATGTAAAATGCTTCTATGTATTCATTTCACTTTTAACCACAAGATTATTTTTAAGTTATTTTAGTCATTTTCACACTTCAGTCAAACATAAAGACAAAAACATCAAAAAATATACATAGTGTTTTACATATGTGTATATTTACACACATATATGTATGTATGTTCATATGTATTGAAACTACAGAAGCACATGTCACCAATAAGAGCTCTGAGACACCTTTGACCATTTTCCCTTATAAGATTTACCAAATGAGTTTTGGGAACAATTTTTTTTTCTTTTTTTGAGAGAGTCTCGCTCTGTCGCCAGGCTGGAGTTCAGTGACTCAGTCTTGGCTAACTGCAACCTCCGCATCCAGCGTTCAAGCAATTCTCCTACCTTAGCCTCCAGAGTAGCTGGGACTACAGGCGTGTGCCACCACCCCCAGCTAATTTTTGTATTTTTAGTAGAGACGGGGTTTCACCATGTTGGCCAGGATGGTCTCGATCTCTTGACCTCGTGAGCCACCTGCCTCAGCCACCCAAAGTGCTGCAAATTTCTTTTAACTTAATTTCTGAGCTTTGTTGACTTAGAAATGCAAAAGAAGGGCCGGACGCAGTGGCTCATGCCTGTAATCCTAGCACTCTGGGAGGCCAAAGCAGGCAAATCACCTGAGGTCAGGGGTTCAAGACCAGCCTGTCAACATGGTGAAACCCTGTCTCTACTAAAAATACAAAAATTAGCCAGGTGTGGTGGCACATGCCTGTAACTACAGCTGCTTGGGAGCTGAGGCAGGAGAATTGCTTGAACCTGGGAGGCAGAGGTTGCAGTGAGCCAAGATTGCGCCACTGCACTCCAGCCTGGGTGACAGAGCAAGACTCTGTAGCAAAAAAAAAAAAAAAAGAAAAGAAATGCAAAGGCAGGCTTGTGGACATTTCATTTATGGGGATCATGGTTTTATTCTCCTTAAAACTCTTCAATACTTTCCCATTGTCTTTAGTTAAATCCAAAATCCTAACACCATCAGTGAGGCTTTTAAATACCTGACTCCTGTGATTTCTCCAATCTAATATTTTACCCTCCTTCCCCTCAGCCTCTCTGCTTTAGTGAGCTTTGTTCTAGTTTCCTGAAGAAGTTCATCAATTCAAGCTTTTGTACATGGGATTTCCTAAACCTGAAACGTGCCTCCCGTTTTGTCCCAACAGACAACACAGGCTCCACTCTGCCCCCTGGCTCACACCTGCTTAACCTGTCAAGTCACATCTGAACTGACACTCTTCAGAGGGTCCTTCTGTGGCACCCTAGTGTAATTGAGATCATCCTATTATCCTCTGTTCTAGAAGTCCACACTTCTGACATTTCTCATCCCTGTCTAAGCTCTTGCGTGTTTGGTTTTTGGCCATCGCTTTCACTGCTCTTTAAGCTCCCCCAGTGGAGTGGAGAGGTCTGTTTTCCCTTGTTTGGATTCCTAGAGGCAGCGCAGGGCAGGCACAAGGTCATCACTAAGGAAGTGTTCACAGGATGAACACGGTGGGTACTGCTGAAGGAACCGGTAAAGCGTGTGGGATGAGAGAAGGAGCAGAGAGTGTTTTGGGGGTGGAGGCTCCCAGGAGGAGGCAGCGTGGGCTGCGGTGGTAGGTGGATCCTCCTCCAGCTCCTGCACTGAGTTCTCCAGAACAGGCTGGAGGCAGGGAGGGGGTCCCAAAAGCCTTGGGATCAGAGGTAGTTTTCCCACCTGGTCCCCCGTACCCCCGTCCGCCTCAGAAAGACAGAGGATGAGCCCCTGGGCTGCGCGTAGTCGAGGTTGCGGGTGGGGCCAGTCAGTGTCTTCCCCGGAGTCCGCTTCTGTAACCGGATCGTTCGTGTCCCCACAGCACGTTTCTTGGAGCAGGCTAAGTCTGAGTGTCATTTCTTCAATGGGACGGAGCGGTACCTGTAAAGATACTTCTATAACCAAGAGGAGTACGTGCGCTTCAACAGCGACATGGGGGAGTTCCGGGCGGTGACTGAGCTGGGGCGGCCTGACGCTGAGTACTGGAACAGCCAGAAGGACATCCTGGAGCAGAAGCGGGCCGAAGTGGACAACTAATGCAGACACAACTATGGGGTTGTGGAGAGATTCACAGTGCAGCGGCGAAATGAGCACGGCGGGGGGCGGGGTCTGAGTCCCTGTGAGCTGGGAATCTGAGTGTTTGTGTGTTGAGAGAGAGACACACACACACACATCTGTGAACATTTAGAATCCTCTCAATCCTGAGCAAGGGGTTCTGAGGGCAGAGGTGTGTGTGTAGAGTGTGGATTTGTCTTTGGCTGTTGTGGGAGGGGAAACAGGAGGGGGCTGCTTCTTATCCTTGGAGGCCTCTGTGGGGAGGTGACATGGGAAGTGGGTGCAGGGGGCTGCAGAGAGAGACCTTGATTGTTCTGGGTCCTTAGAGATTCAGGGAAGGGAAATGTAAGATTTGTGTGGTTGGGGTGAAGGTTTAGGGGAGGAGAGGTGAGGGTTATGGAAGGTTTGGGATAATGTGAGGAGGCCAGTTCCAGACTGTCCCTGGCACATACCCTTAATTTCTAGGGGAATTGAGGAGACCTCTGAGATACCTCTGAAGCTTCTTTAGGTCTAAATTTCTTGCCACTTTTTTGTTTTCTTAGTGTGCGTATTTTTACATAGTTGAAGTGACTGTGAAACTAACTTTTGAATTAAAGTTTTAACACAGTTGCTATTTTATTATAATGCCAATAGTTTTCTACTACTTACGTATTATTCTTTTATATATAATAGCTGTGACACAAATTACCTCACTTTCCCCTTTGTTGACCTTTATTATGACATTCACCAAAAGTTTAAAATGTATGTTTATGGTTAATTTTTAATTTATATTTTTTGACATATAGTTCTTTTGAATTATTTTGACCTATTTGTTGGCCAATTATAATTACTGTTCTAAGAATTCCCTATTGCATTTGGTAGGTAATGGACAATGATCTACTATCTATTATCTTTAGGGCTTTGTACTTTCCTCAGTGATTTTGTGAGTTTTTTGTATGGTAAGATTATTAACACTTTATTGATATTTGAGTCAACATTTTCTCCAGTTTGTGGTTTGTATGTTGATTTTGAAAATTCTTTTCCATGTTAAGAATTTGAACATTTTGGCCGGGCGTGGTGGCTCCTGCCTGTAATCCCAGCACTTTGGGAGGCCAAGGTGGGTGGATCACGAGGTCAGCAGATTGAGACCATCCTGGCTAACACACTGAAACCCCATCTCTACAAAAAATACAAAAAAAAAATTAGCTGGATGTGGTGGCAGGCACCTGTAGTCCCAGCTACTTGGGAGGCTGAGGCAAGAGAATGGCGTGAACATGGGAGATGAAGCTTGCAGTCAGCCAAGATCGTGCCACTGCACTCCAGCCTGGGTGACAGAGCAAGACTCTGTCTCAAAAAAAAAATTTTTTTTTGAACATTTTTATTTAATCAAATATATTGCAAAATTTATATTAATGATTTACAATCCATCTTAAATCTACCATTTTGTGGTATTGTTGTCTCCAGGTTTCTCCTTCCTTCTTAAAAAAAATAGTATTTATTAAGAGTATCCTAGTGTCAGAGGTTTGCATAGGCATAAGCATCCCAAGTAGTGAGTCCCAGATCCTTCCTTGATCCAAATTTCATTCTGGAAAGAAAAATCATTTTACCATGACAGGCCTAATAATAGTTATGCTTGTTTTGCATGGGAGATGCATTGATCAGCTAAATGTAAATATAAGAACTTTCAAAACTAAAATGACGTTCCTTAATCCTTCTCTCTGCCTTAGGACTCATGCTTTTCTAGGAACTTAAAGATTTGGAGAATGATTTCTGTCTGTCCCACCTTCCTAGGGGCAAAACCATCTCTGTGGTGTTCTAAGGTGTGAGTGCATGGCAGTAATATTCCTAAACATTCATACTCAGTTTCCTCATGTACTCTACTCTGTCCCTTTATCTATACACATTGCTTTAAAATATATTTATCTCTCAAGGATGATAAATAGGTGCGCAGTGGAGCACCCAAGTGTGATGAGCCCTATCACAGTGGAGTGGAGTGAGCAGCTTTCTGACCTCATCAATGGAAGGCTATCTTCAGTCACTGTTTTTTTGTTTTGGAGATGGAGTCTCCCTTTATTGCCCAGGATGGAGTGCTGTGGCACAATCTCCAGTTACTGCAACCTCTGCCTCCTGGGTTCAAGCAGTTCTCCTGCCTCAGCCTCCTGAGTAGCTGGGACTACAGATGCGCACCACAATGCCCAGCTATTTTTTGTATTTTTAGTAGAGACCAGGTTTCACCATATTGGCCAGGCTGGTCTTGAACTCCTGACCTCGTAATTCGCCTGCTTCTGACTCACAAGTGCTGAGAGTACAGGCTTGAGCCACCACGCCTGGCCCGGTTATTGTTTTATGTATTTTACATGCATTAATTTCAACCCTTGGGGATTAATGCACATAAAATATATGAAACAATATATAAATGTTTTATACACATAAAATATATAAAACAATATACCTCCTGGGATTATATTAATCATATAACCCAAAGAGGTAAATTAGTATAATTATCCTCCATTATAGGTGAGAAAATTGCGACACAGAATCGAAAAACTCTTACAGGTAGACATTGGATTTGAATCAGGCAACCTGCCTCAGAAATCAGTTTTAATGACTACACTCTGTACTTTCAAAGATTTGTAAACATTTTGACAATGCATACCAATTTCAAGCTATGAAGAAACAAACACAATTTTGTTGGGGTGACCAGACCCAACACCAGGTCGTGGGGGTGACAAAGTCCAACAGAGTCAAAGGAATGAGAAAAAGACAGTTTGAGAGAGAAAGTGGGACCAGGGGGCCATTGCGAGTGTGGAGGCTGCGAAGGCCCTGAGCTCTGGAAGCCCATGCTATTTATTGGTGCTCAAACAAACAGTTGGTGAGGATGTGGGGGTTGAAAGGAAACAGTGTATCAAGTGAATGAGAAACATGGCTGCTTGAGAAAATGAGAGTGCTAGAAGCAAGGAGCCAGTAAGTCTAGCAGACATGCAAGCCCTGCCTCAAGCTTCTCTCCCAACACTCAGTTTTCTCCCAACATGCCCCCCTTCTCTTTTTGCAGGCTATGTAGCCCTTAATTGCCAGTTGGTGATCCAGCTTCCTTTTTATGAGCCCTTATTCAAAATGGAGTAACTTTGGTTTGAATGCTTCCTACATATCTCCCCTTTCCCTTTTACAAGAGGACTCTTAATCCTAGGGGTTGCAGAAGGATGAAGGTCCGTCTTCCGTAACTTCTTCATGCTAACTAGGGGCGATGATACTCCTATCTACCTATTAAGGTCTCTTGTATTCAGGATAGAGAGGCGTTCAGTCAGAAAGCATTGGTCCGTTAAGCATCTATAGGTAAAACCGTGGCACTCCAGCAGTTTCTCAGCATGGCTTGTACTGGGGGAACCTGGTCCATGGTTGGGATCCATGGGTCCCTCCGGTCTCCCATTCCATGGTCGTACACATCTTGAGGGCACCTACATGGTTTGTTCATCTCCTGCAAAAACACAAGCATACCCTCACCCTCACGTTAGTAAATCTACTGAAACAGAAGCTACTGAAAAAGAAGACTTGTGGCTGTAGCCGGGAGGCATGCCATTGCTGAAGCATTTGTAACTCAGCTTCGGCCTCTTTGGTTAATTACCACAGGGTAAAACTTACCGTTGATAATGAGAAGCAGGCCCCTTCTAACAGAAGGCACAGAGAAAGCAAATCGAGGCTTAAATGTAATCTTTAAGCCTTCAATTTGCACTGTACAGGAGGGTCCACTAGATGCTGTGGCTCATGATAGATCTTCAGATGTTTGGTGGGCACCCACACAGGCACCTGATTGTCACCTGGAGAGACACAAGTAAATCCTCTTCCCCATAAAATTATCTTTCCCTTTTCCTAGCTCTTTGTATGTGCATCCCTCCACCATATATCTTGTCCAGCCTTTTTATTTTCTTTTTGTCCTCTCAGGTGCTGTTCAGCTGCAGTCATGGGTTGATCTTTTTGTAAATTAAAAAACTTTAATGTTAATAAAGCTAAATGCAATTGCATATTTGGTGTCTTATATTCCTGGTCTCCTCCATTTTGCTTTTGTATTTGAGTTTTTAAAGTACAATTAGCTCTTTCCACTATTGCCTGTCCTTTTGAGTTATATGGAATACCCACAGTATGGGTAATATTCCATTGTTGAAAAAATATAGGCATGGCTTTACCACAGTATCCTGGGCCATTACCAGTTTTTATTTTTTCTCGGGTTCCCATAACTGAAAAGCAACATAAAAGATGTCTTTTAACATGAGCTGTAGCTTCCCCTGTTTGACATGTGTCCCGGATAAAATGTGAATAGGTATCTACTGAAACACGAATGAAGGACAATTTTCCAAAAGTAAGACTATGTGTTACATCCATCTGCCAGATGGAATTTGGAGATAAACCTCTAGGGTTAACTCCTCTTCCTTGATGTAGCAGATACAGGACTTGACAGGCAGAACAGTGTTGCACAATTTCTTTAGAACAGTAAAAGCAAATTTTTCATAATCTTGGGCAGCTAAAGGAATGGTAAAAAAGCAATCCTTTAGATTTATCACTATGAGAGACCAGTATTTTGGGATCATTGTTGGGGAGGGCAGCCTGGTTGTAGCATGCCCATGGGTTGAATCACAGCATTGATAGCCCTTAAATCTGTTAACATTCTCCATTTCTCTGATTTTTTCTTAATGAGAAATACAGGAGAATTTCAAGAGGAGAAAGTAGGCTCTATATGTTCCTTTTACAATTGTTCCTGCACCAGTTCTTCTAAAGTCTCCAGTTTTTCCTGTTTCAGCAGCCATTGCTCCACCCAAACCAGTTTGGCAGTTAGCCAAACAAGAGGAATGGGAGCCGGAGGCTCAACAATGGCTGCTCCTAAAAATGACACCCCAATCCGGTCCGATCTGTTTGCCCTTTTAATTCTAAAGGTTCTAATTGCCCAACTTTGTCTTTTTCCAGTCCTTTTCCCGGGTGATATCCCATATTTTTCATCATTTGTCTACCATTATTACTATATTGGTCTATAGGAATAGATATTTCAGCATCCCATTGTTGCAATAAGTCTCTACCCCATAGATTAACAGGAATAGGTATTACGATAGGCTGAATTGTCTCTTCCTGACCATCTGGTCCTTGACATGGTAAAATCAAGGAACTTTGAAAAACTTCTGAGGCAGCTCCTACTCCAACAATACCAATGGATGCCTTTTGCTTAGGCCAGAGCCAGGCCATTGATTTATAGCAATAATAGAGACATCAGCTCCAGTGTCTACTAGTCCTTCAAAATCTTTTCCCTGTATAGTTACTGTGCAAATAGGTCTTTTGCCAGACACTTGATTAACCCAATATACAGCCTTTCCTGCTGGATTAGTGTTACCAAAGCCTCCTGTTCTTTTCACTGTGCTGCTTCCTAGTTTTATATAAGGTAAAAGCAACAAGTGAGCAATTCTTTCTCCTGGGGAGGCAGACCACGGAGTCAAGGAACTAATAACTAATTGAATCTCCCCAGTATAATCAGAGTCAATTATTCTCGTATGTACAGTAACACCTTTTAAATTTAGACTAGACCTTCCAAGTAATAGACCAACTGTTCCTGAGGGTAAGGGTCCCCTAACTCCCGTGGGGACCTTCTTTGGTGGCTCCCCAGGAAGTGTGAACTAAAAGATGAGTTACATAGGTGTTTACAAAACACAACTGGATATTTTCCATTATTTTGGGATAAACCAAAATAAATTTTAAAGTTTCATTTGGAGATTTCAAAGCTGAAAATGCTTTCAGCAAATTCTTAGATCTTAAGAAAGTATATATTGTCCATTGTTTATATAATCATTTGCCTTTTTGATCTAAAAATTTTAATACTTGAATTTAATAGGTTTTTCTTCTGGAAAAATTCTTTGGCATTCAAGTAAAAACGATACTTTCAGAGTAGTCACCTGCATCACACTAGAGTGACTGCTTTAATTTCTAAATCATCAATTAGTGTAACCTAGAGATACTGATAGCCTTGATACATAATTTAGTCTCGTTATTATAGCATGTGGAAATCAGGGCTTTGGGGGGCATCATCTGACCCCATTTCTTTTTACCACAATGGTTCCTGCTACAGTGTCATAGGCTGTTCAATTATGCTGAAAAAACAGCAGTGTGATATAAGCAGGGAAAAAAAGAAGCAATCAAAAAATTCTTGATCAAAGCTCGTTGTAATGCTAACATTTGAGGAAGGCATCACTAAAACCTGACTTGGTGCAATAAGCACTAATGTATCACATGTCTCAACTCAAAGGCCCAGCAGGAACTTCCCTGGGGTAGCTCCACCTGCTCCCCAAATGCAAATTATCTCATAGAAACAAATTAATAATCTGTATAAAAGAGCCACAACCATCATTTTCTGCAAGTCTTCCAGTGATGTGTCTTCATTCATTTCTTCTATTGTATAATGCATAGCAAACTTAGAAATATCCTTTATCCCACTGAGGTGCATAATGCTTAAGATAATGGTTGCTTTTACAAAGAAGAGAATAAAGAAATCCACTATCTCTACCATAAATCTGTGGGCCAAGGATAGAATAACATATTATCTGCCTGCCTGTCACCTGGTCTCGCTCGGGCTTCCCGAAGGGGCTATGGATCCTACCTTTGTCACTGGAGTGACCCAGACTGATGCCTGCACATGAGGAGCCTGGGGTCCCAGGCCCACGACTTGAGCCGGGGTGCTGATGCCAGCAGCTGTTCCCAGGTTAGGCCTGTGGCCTGGGGGACAGCAGCGCTGCCCAAAGGGAAGCTCCGTGGGGATGGTTGGGGGCTGCAGTAGGTGGGGAAGGCAGCCGGGATGCTGCGCCAGGTGAGGTAGCCGCAGTAGGACTGCCACAGCCACTCGTGAACTTGGGAGCACTTGTGGGCGCTCAGCCGTGCCAGTCTCTCCGCGGTGCCGCAGCCTTGGGTGCTTCACAGCCCGCCTGCCCCTGCAGCCCTGCCCTGGAGCCAGAGGCCACCTCCCCATGCCTCCCAAGTTTGCAGGGTGGCTCTGACCCATCAGTGGCAGCAGCTGTGAGGCCTGCGGCCATGGGCCAGCCCAGGGGCCACCATAGGGGCATGGGATGGTGGTGGCTGGAGGGCCTCTCAAAGAAGGGATGGGCTCGTGGTCCCCTCCTCCCTCACCGCACCCGGGAGGGTGACCTCAGGGCCCCCTGCCATCGTCGCCCCAGCAGCACCCACCATGGCACCTGCCACTACTCCATCCCTATATGCCCTTCCAAAATCTCCTCCAATTCTCCCCCATCCATCCAACTCCACAGTCCCCCGCTGCGGGAACCATGGACAAAACTGCTTCACTCTACTAAAAAGTGATAACAAACTCTGAGTACTAACTTTCACTCCCCCACTTCATAACAAATGCTTTAAAAAAATTTAAATAAGCAGAATGTCTGCTTTCACTTTGTTCTATTGTTACCTTAGTTTTCCGGGCACTCAGCTTTCCTGCTGAGCTTCTTTTAAGTGTCCTTGAGTGTCCTTTGACAATGCGTCCTCTGCTGTCACATGCTCTAGCATTCCTTCACCAGAGCCTTTGTCACCCCACATTGGACAGCCAGGTATGTTGGGGTGATCAGACCCAACACCAGATCATGGGGGCAACGAAGTCCAACAGAGTCAAAGGAATGAGAAAAAGACAGTCTAAGAGAGAAAGTGGGACCAGGGGGCCATTGTGAGTGTGGAGGCTGCAAAGGCCCTGAGCTCTGGGAGCCCATGCTACTTATTGGTGCTCAAACAAACAAACAATTGGTGAGGATGTGGGGGTTGAAAGGAAACAGTGTATCAAGTGAATGAGAAACATGGCTGCTTGAGATAACAGGAGTGCTAGAAGCAAGTCTAGCAGACATGCAAGCCCTGCCTCAGCTTCTCTCCCAACACACAGCTTTTCACAAAAACACAATTTTTCACAACATCTCTCAAATCTAATGGGTCCTCCTTATAAAGATTCAATTCCAGGCTGATGACACTGTGAGGCCACATGGCCAGCTGTGTTGGAGGCCTGGTCAAGGCCAGAGCCTGGGTTTACAGAGAAGCAGACAAACAGCAAAACATGGAGACTTACTCTTCTTCCTGACTCATTCCCTCTACTTGTTCTTCTCCTAGTCCAACCTAAGGTGACTGTGTATCCTTCAAAAGACCAGCCCCTGCAGCACCACAACCTCCTGGTCTGCTCTGTGAGTGGTTTCTATCCAGGCAGCATTGAAGTCAGGTGGTTCCAGAATGGCCAGGAAGAGAAGGCTGGGGTGGTGTCCACAGGCCTGATCCAGAATGGAGACTGGACCTTCCAGACCCTGGTGATGCTGGAAACAGTTCCTCAGAATGCAGAGGTTTACACCTGTCAACTGGAGCACCCAAGCATGATGAGCCTTCTCATGCAGTGGAATGGAGTGAGCAGCTTTCTGACTTCATACATTTCTCACCAACCATGAAGGGGTCTTTGGTAATCCCTGAGTGTCAGGTTTCTTCTCTCCCACATCATGTTTTCATTTGCTCCATGTTCTCATCTCCATTAGCACAGGTCACTGGGGGGTAGCCCTGTAATACTTTCTAGAAACACCTGTACCCCCTGGGGAAGCAGTCATGCCTGCCAAGCAGGAGAGGCTGTCCCTGTTTTGAACCTCCCCATGATGTCACAGATCAGGCTCACCTGCTCTCCCTGGGCTCCAGGCCCTGCCTCTGGGTGTGAGACTGTGTTTCTGGTGCTGTTGCTCTGAGTTGTTTTTTTGACCTGAGAAGAGAAGTAATGTAGGGGCCCTCCTGACATGAGGGGAATCCAGTCTCAGCTTTGCCTTTTATTAGCTCTGTCACTCTAGCCAAACTACTTAACCTCATTGAGTCTCAGACTTTCTGTTGATCAGATGTTGAAGTTGTGCCTTACATCAAGGCTGTAATATTTGAATGAGTTTGATGCCTGAACCTTGTAACTGTGCAGTGTGATTTGAAAATCATTTTTTTCTCCAGAAATGATCAGTTATTTTCATTCTTGCAGGGAAGCCTTCTCTCTTATTTTCAAAGCTCTGAATCTCAGGGTCTCAATTAAAGAGGTTCCATTTAGGATAAAAATCACTAATCCTTGCTTCCTCTCTCAGGAGCATGGTCTGAATCTGCACAGAGCAAGATGCTGAGTGGAGTCGGGGGCTTCGTGCTGGGCCTGCTCTTCCTTGGGGCCGGGCTGTTCATCTACTTCAGGAATCAGAAAGCTGAGGAGTCTTTTGTATCGGCTCTCTCCATAGACTTATCTGGAGGAGGAAATATGGCTTTGCTGAGGTTAGTTCTCAGTATATGAGTGGCCCTAGATAAAGCCTTTCTTTCCGCAAATGACCTCCAATGTCCTGATAATCCAGAAATCATCAGTGCATGGTTACTATGTCAAAGCATAATAGCTTGTGGCCTGCAGTGATAAAAGAAAGGTTAGTAAGAAAGAGTCCTTAGGCCAGGCATGGTGGCTCACGCCTGTAATCCTAACACTTTGGGAGGCCAAGGCGGGTGGATCATCAGGTCAGGAGATCGAGACCATCCTGGCTAACACAGTGAAACCCCGTCTCTACTAAAAATACAAAAATTAGCTGGGCATGGTGGTGGGCGCCTGCAGTCCCAGCTACTCGGGAGGCTGAGGCAGGAGAATGGCATGAACCCGGGAGGCGGAGCTTGCAGTGAGCCGAGATCACGCCACTGCACTCCAGCCTGGGCGACAGAGTGACATTCCATCTCAAAAAAAAAGAGTCCTTTCGTTTGACATCCTGGAGCAAATTAAGGAAGAGCCACTAAGACTAATGCAATTACACTGGATCGTGTGACAGACATATCACGCTTCATGGGTCACATGGTCTGTTTCTGCTCCTCTCTGCCCTGGTTGCTGTGGGTTGTGGTGTTAGACAAATCTCAGGTGGGAGATCTGGGGCTGGGACATTGTGTTGGAGGACAGATTTGCTTCCATATCTTTTAAGTGTATATCTTTTCCTCTTTCTCCTAGGACACTCTGGACTTCAACCAACAGGTAATACCTTTTAATTCTCTTTTAGAAACAGATTCGATTTCCCTAGAATGATAGTGGAGGTGATAAGGCATGAGACAGAAATAATAAAAAGACTTTGGATTCAAATTTCTGATCAGGCAATTTACACCAAAACTCCTTCTCTCCACATAGAAAAGGCCTGTGCTCTGCAGGAGTACTGGCTCATGGAGACTTAAGAACTTGTTTTTCTTCTTCCTGCAGTGCTCTCATCTGAGTCCTTGAAAGAGGGGAAAGGAAGCTGTTAGTAGAGCCAGATCTGAAAACAACACTCTCCTCTGTCTTTTGCAGGACTCCTGAGCTGAAGTGAAGATGACCACATTCAAGGAGGAACCTTCTTCCCCAGCTTTGCAGGATGAAAAGCTTTCCCACCTGGCTGTTATTCTTCCATAAGAGAGGGCTTTCTCAGGATCTGGTTGCTACTGGTTCAGCAACTCTGCAGAAAATGTCCTCCCTTGTGGCTTCCTCAGCCCCTGCCTTTGGCCTGAAGTCCTGGCATTGATGGCAGCACCTCATCTTCAACTTTTGTGCTCCCCTTTACCTAACCCTTCCTGCCTCCCGTGCATCTGTACTCCCCCCTTGTGCCACAAACACATTACATTATTAAATGTTTCTCACACACGGAGATAAAAATCATCTAGTCCAGCCAGGCACTGTGGCTCATGCCTGTAATCCCAGCATTTTGGGAGGCCGAGGCGGGCAGATCACGAGGTCAATAGATCAATACCATCCTGGCCAATATGGTGAAACCCCGTCTCTACTAAAAATATAAAAATTAGTTGGCCGTGGTGGCATGCACCTGTAGTCCAAGCTACTTGGAGGCTGAGGCAGGAGAATCACTTGAACCTGGGAGGTGGAGGTTACAGTGAGCCGAGATCGTGCCACTGCACTCCACTCTGGTGAGAGTGAGAGTCTGTCTCAAAAAAAAGCCAAAAAAACAAAACAAACAAACAAACAAAAAATCATCTGGACCATTTGGCTCCAAGGACAAAAAAAAAGAAAGAAAGAAAATTATTTCCCAAAAGAATGATGGTTTTCATGTAGCTGTCATGAGTATGTGAGGTAGTGTATATGTTAAATAGCTTGATTTAGACATTCCACATAGGCATGTATCAAAACTTCATGCTGCACAACATAAATATACAATTTTTACTTGTCAATTAAAAAAGTAAACCTAATGTTTAAAAAGCCAATGCATAAAACCTGAGAACAGACTATAACAACTAAAACAAACTTGGCCAACATGAGATGAGAAACCAGCTAGCAAGTTCATCAGACTCTTTCTTAACCCCATCTACAGTATTGTGTATCCATAACTGTAAATTAGTACATAATTTTTCATTCCAGAGATGTAAGTAATATAGTATTATCAAAGGACTTTTACACATTTCAGAGAAAGACAAATTTAGAAGATGGAGGGTTCTCCATTGTGTTCTATCTGAGTCAGTATCAAACATGTGAAATCTAAAAGTACATAATCAATTCAAAAGTTTATTTCAAAGTAATAATCATTTGAGCATAATTTCTCTACTGTCAGAAACAACTGTTATTTTGTTTTCAAATTCAATGCTTGTTTTATGCATTTTATTTTTAATTATATGTTACTTGTACATACATAGCAGTACAAGTACATATAAATCCTATAAGAATGTAAATCCTATAGGAATATATTAACCTGATAATTATGTCTGCTCTGTTTGATTCCAGCGTTGCAACATATAGGCTTTGTTCCCTAAGCTGAGGAAATGATTTGTCTTCAGACTTGTTGTGTGGAATTATAAGGTAGAACTAAAATGTGTGGGATGAATATTTCAATGAAGATGACTTCTGCTGCGAATAGCAGGAAATCCGACCTTTATTTTTCTTTAACCCATTATCCGCATAGCCTAACAGATCCAAGGCTGGGCATCTCCAGGTTTGCTCAACTCAGCAGGCCGGTGGCATCACCAGTGATCCTGGAACTTCATAGCTCATCTCTCCATCACAAGCAGCACATCAGCTGAGATGGTAGGAGGACCCTCGCAGCAGCTTTAGGTTTCTTATTCTTTCACAACAAGTCCCAAAGGCAGGAAAAGGATACTACTCTTTCCTGTGTGCCTTTATGAGGAGCAACTACACTTTCCAGGGTATTCCCAGTACCCACTTTCTCACACATTGGAATGACCGTGGGATCACACGGGCTCAGACAAGCCAGGATTCAACCTTTGTAAAGTGGGCCTAATGCACATGGGAAGAAAAAGAGCAAAATCATATATTTTTAAAAATAAAGAAATGGGCGGCGCCACACGGGGCAGCACGGGGTCGCCATGGAGGAGCTGCAGCCGCTGCTGGTGCAGGAGGCAGTGGACTCCATCCTGAACAATCTGGAGAGAGAGAACATCCGGAATATGCAGGGTCTCATGTTCCGTTGAAGTGCCAGCTGTCGTGAGGACAGGCAGGCTTCCATGCAGCAGGTGCACCAGTGTGTCAAACTCTGCCATGTTCCTCTGGCTTAATCCCAGGCTTTGGTCACCAGTGAGTTCCAGGACTGCCTGGCCCGGTGCACCATGCATTGCAACCACAAAGCCAAAGATTCAATAGATGCTGGGAGTAAGGAGCTTCAGGTGAAGCAGCAGCTGGTTGGCTGTGTGACCAAGTGTGTGGATGACCACATGCATCTCATCCCAACTATGACCAAGAAGACAAAGGAGCCTCTCTCATCCATTGGGAAATAAAAGTCTTTGCCAGTGGCCATCAGGACTGAGGGCAAGAATATATTTTTTATACAGAATTGGGAATTTTAGCCTTTTAAGCAAAGTTTATGAATGAAGAAATTAAGGATGGCC